>NT_167246.2:4239475-4436038 GCF_000001405.40 Homo sapiens | reverse complement strand
GGCCACTTCTGTGTTCCTGAGATCTTAGAAACACCAGAACCCTCTCCTCTCAACCCTCTGCTACCTCCACATGGCACTAGAGCCCACAGGATCTACCTTGGATCTACAGCTTGGATCTACCCACACACATTCTAGAGTCTCACGGGATCTTCTAGGGATATCCCTGGTCTGATAAAGAGACACTGCCTGTGGATATTTTCCTTTGCTATCCCAATTGCACTCTCTGTTTTTGTGAGGACACTTGGGAAGATGAAAAACACTCTGTCACCATTGTCATCTTCTCCCTGTATCACCAACATCTGACAAATCGAATATTACTTATAAGCTACTATGAAAACAAAAGGAAAGGCAAATTAACCAACATTTTCAGAAGTCTTCAAAAGTTGTAAAAACCATTAAATTCAATATAAAAGGACAAAACTTTAAAGTCAAGTTTTTGGCAAATTGATAAAATTGGGGAATTGATGATTTGATGTATTAATTTCTGATTAGTTGATGGGTTGATTTTAGTGAGTTGACGTGCAGTAAATTGGTGTTCAGGATGGTCATGGAGAGGCTTGAACTGGCCTGGAGCCAGGGGCCACAGCCCAGAACACACGGGCCCAGGATCAGGCTGCAGCCTCGCCAAACTGGAAGGATGTGAGTAGTAGCAGAGCCACGCTGGGGCCACCAGCAGGCAAGGTGGCTGAGCCCCACTGCCTTCGTCAGGGATAATCGATCGCAGATTAGACCAGCCACGGAAATGTTGGCGAGCGATGGGGACAGGCCAAGGAACTGGGGGCAGAGAACCATCAGAAAAGAGAAAAAATGCCACCTAGACCCAGCTTCCCACAGCCAGCACGCTCTGTAAGTTCATCCTCTGCCCCAGGATGTCATTCCCAAAAGGGGGAGGGAGAGGGGGAAGAGAAGAAACCGTGAAAGATTGTGCCTTTCCCAGAAGACATTTGAAGTTTTTCAAAAATACCTCTTTTAAACAGGAAGGGCTGTATCTATGCCTTTCGATGGCCAATTTTGGGGTTTTCCTACCATCATTTGGAATTGTTGCTCCAGAGTGTAATGAGACCAGTTATATATTTTTAAAGTTACTTTTTTTGATGTATAAATTTCAAACTATCTGCAGATATAAAGGAAGAGTGATTTTAGCTTAGAATTTCCCAGGAGACAGAGGTTGGAACTCTGGCATTTAGAGAAGTCAGGAGACGGGAGGGGAAAGTTCTAAGGGAAGTGAGCAGTTCCCAGCCAAAGGGCAGAAGTCCAGAGTTTGAAAAGTGATGGCCAGCAAGAAATCTGCTGTGCTGGGGAGCTGCCCCCAAATGACCACAACAGTCTGCCCAGGGCAGGAGGCTGGTGCAGGAGATGCCATCAACTCCATACGTAAGCACACATTTGCATCACTTCTCTGTCCAGGAATTATCAGACATTCTGGTGACAGCAGTGAGCCATTTGAATTCCTGCAATTAGACAGGCACTTGAAACTGCTTAATTACTAGGGAAAGGATTGCCCCAGAAAGTTGCAGGCCACATGAACATTTATATTGCACATTAATAGACCTTCTCCTTTTTCCACCACGTATTTAGTTCTGTGTACAGACTTCCAAGACAGCCATTCTTGTTGGCAGGAACCATAATTGTGGTCCCAAAGCCTAGCACGGCACTTAAAGCAAAATAGATTAAAACAGAGCGATGCACCAGCAAACAGTCAGATCTAAGGTCCAGAATGGAAAAATTCAATGGTAAGGTCGCCCTCTGGTGGAATATCTAGGTAGTAACAGGAAAGGACTTGAAGACTCTGGCAAGCTGGCTACTTAAATGTAAAAATCTCAGAAAAGGAGCCAGTGGCCAACTGGTAGCCAACCAAGAGCACCCAGAGCAGCGCTGTCCAGTAGAAATATAATGGGAGCCTCTTAATTCAATTTCAAATTTTCTAGTAGCTACATTTAAAAAGGAATAAGAAACAGGTGAGATTAATCTAATACATATTTTAAACCGCAAATATACAAAAAATTGCAAACTGAACATTAATTAATATAGAAATTACTGAGATTATGTATATACATTTAATTAAGTCTTCAAATCCCAGGGCATTTTATACTTAGAGTTTTTTTTGGCTTAATAGCTACAGGTGGCTTGTGGCTACTGCACAGGACAGCACAGTCCTTGAGGAAGGGGATCATGTCCTGCTCTTCTGTGCTCCCAGAGCAGCACACAGTGCCTAAGTCACATCAGGTGTCCTATAAACATGTATTTAATGAAGAATATCCCCCAACACCTACCTGAACTTGTCATGCTCCAAAGAACATGACAGATACAACTTTACCTCAAAGTCAGCATTTTAGACAATTTAGAACAACTGGATTTGTGTCATTTTTAAAGGACACTTTAGTAAGTTTTTGTCGAATCTGTGTTTGCCTCATTATTAGACTCTAGTCCCAATAACAGTACCTCTCCCTAGAGTCAGGGTTATCCACTTTATTCACTTTTATTTGTTATCATTGACTTATTTATTTAATAACGTGCTAGCGTTTAGGGGGAAAAGGAAGATTGTGTAACAAAGATTCAATCATCCATGATCCCTTCTTACAGGCCCTTTCCATCTAGGAGGGAATGTGGACCATACATATACATTCCAAGAAAACAAATAATGAGGAAGCCCTGGTGAGACTGAAAGGTGTTCTGAACTGGGTTGCTTGCTGGCTGTGGCTATGAGAAGGTTCCTGGAACCTTCTGCTCTTGCCTCCCCGGTGTTGGCCTTGAGCAATCACTGCCTGCTCCCTGCTGCAAAAAACGATGGCAAGATCCTGATTGCCTGTCCAGCTGTTGAGGGGTGGGTGAGAAAATCCAAGCTGAAATCCTGCTGGAGTGGGAGGAGCTGGGGACTGCCCTAGTCATTGCCTCCTCTGCCACCCCAGCTATCAGTGCTCCCTACGCCTCCTAGTGCTCCCACCCTGAAGTCCTGACCTGAAGTGACACCCAAAGGGTAGTGACTATGGTTTTGCGCTGGCCTAGGACTCCAGCTGGCCCTCCTTTCTCTTTACACACATGACACCAACACAGATGGCCACTAGTGGGTCAAAATAATACCTTTAGGGAGTGCCGACACCTCAAAAGAAAAACAGCAAACAGGACCATCTATGTCCTTGAAAGAAGTGGTAGAAAATATAGACCAGCCGCTTAAAATGAGCATTAAAAGTGCACTTTAAAAGTCAGAAGCTATTATAATATGAAAAAATAGAGAATATAGGGAAAACACCTAGAAGTTCTAGGTGTAAAAAATATATATAATAGTCAAAGTAAAAGCCACATTAATGGGATAAATAGTGGGAGAGATGCAACTGAAAAACAAAACAGAAAGATGGAGGACTACACTGAGGAGCTAGTTCAGAACAAAAGAGGGAAGAATTGAGAAGTCATCAATAGAAAAGTCAGGGGAAAAGGAGGAGAGAATTATCCAAATATAGATTATATGAGTTTCACAAAGACAAAAAATAGAGGAGAAAAATAGTTAAAGAAATAAAAAGATGAATTCCCAGAATTAAAAGATAGAGAAGATCCATAATGTCTTACAGAGAGAAGGAAAAACCCACTCTAGACACACTAGCAAAATTTAAAAATATCAAAGACAATGAGAAAATTCTAGAAGATTCCAGCATGAAAGACTGACATGGGATTTTCTAACTGTGACATTGGATGCAAAAAAAAAAATTTGGAATGATGTTATTTAGAATATTAAAGGGGAAAATACTTCAAATAGTATGTAATACACAGCTAAACTTTATTCAAAAGTGCTGGTATAATTTTAAAAAATTATCAAGCATACAAGACTTTAGAAGGTTTGCTATGCAAATTCCCACATCTGAAAGGTTTTGGAAGAAGAATTCTAATCAGAGAACGCATTCTAGAAGGTGCCAAAAGATATGAAAAGTAATGTTGACCAAATAATTTGGTGAAGGAGAAAATATGTGAATAAATTTGAAAGCATGCTAAAGTTCTTATCCAGTCAGAGGGAAGATGGAGAAGGTATCGGTAACACTTAAAAAAAAAAAAGGCAATGAAGATTAAAAAAGAAAACTTGGCCGGGTGTGATGGCTCACGCCTGTAATCCTAGCAGTTTGTGAGGCCGAGCCAGGCAGATTGCCTGAGCTCAGGAGGATAAGCCTGGGCAACACGGTGAAACCCCGTCTCTACTAAAATACAAAAAAAAAAAAAAAAAAATAGCCAAGCATGGTGGCATGCACCTGGAGTCCCAGCCACTCGGGAAGCTGAGGAGAATCGCTTGAACCCGGGAAGCAGAGGTTGCAGTGAGCCAGCCCAGATCATGCCACTACACTCCAGCCTGGCAACAGAGCGAGACTCCGTCTCAAAAACAAACAAACAAACAAACAAAAAAACTTTAAAAAATAGAAATATTGAAATAAATAAGGTATTACAAACAAGCCCAAGTGCATCAATATTCACAATAAACACAATCAGAATGCAGCAAAGACAGGGCCATGTGCTCACCAAACCATTATATCTTCCTGCACACATAGGTAACGTACATTTTTCCATCCCCGTGCGCCTATGTGGGGTCATTGTTTACTTCTTGCCAATGGAATGTGAGCAGAGATGGCAAATAGTTTCTGGTCCAAAACCATGGAAACAATGTGCCTTTCCCAGGTTCTCTCTCCTACCTGCAAAGCTAGGAGTTCATGAAGTGCTTTTCAATAATAGAGATGCAAAGTGGAGCTTAGCCACCTTGAGGCATGTTTTGGAAAAGAGCTACAGAGTGCCCAACCTGCCTTGAACTACACGTGGCTAAAAAATAAACCTGTGTTTTGTTAAACCACTGAGGCTTCAGTGTTTGTCTCTTGCAGAAACAAGTTTGCTCACTTTGACTACCATATGAATTGAACATAGGTTAGAAGACAGAGATCGTCAGATTGAATCAGAAGCAAAAATCTATATTTATGACATTTCAAGGGCTACATCTAAAGCATAAGTACAAAGGAAGAGTAAAAACAAAAGAGTAGAAAAAGATACAGTGAACAAATACCCAAAGACAGCTGTAGAACTTATTACTATCAGACAAGACAGAGTAGGACAGAAAGATTCTCAGGACAAATTGGGAAAAGGCTCAGTTCACCAAGACTGTAATAATTCCCAAGAGTAAACACCTTAATAACCTAAATGCAGAGAGGGCAAAAGTTGATTTAAAAATTAGAAACAAGTTGAAAAACCTACAGTCACAGTTAGAGATTTAAATATACCATTCATAGGCCAGGAATTGTGGGGCATGCCTATAGTCCCAGCTACTCTGGGAGGCTGAGGCAGGAGGATCGCTTAAGCCCAGCTGTTTGAGGCTGCAGCGAGCCATGATTACTTCACTGCCCTCCAGCCTGAGCAACAGAGCAAGGCCCTGTCTCTAAAAAATAAATAAATAAATGCACCACTCTTAGTTATGTATAGGCCAGTCCAAAGATAAAGAAAACCGTAATAAATTAGAATGACAAAATCCACATGCTTGATCCAATAAACATGTACATGTATAAAATTCTGCATCACATTTATTAGAGCCCATGTGAAATATTTACAGAAGTTCACCACACTCCAAGCCATAGAGGATTATCATGTAATTAAATTATAAGTTAATAACAAAAAACATACTTTAAAAAATCTATGTATGTTTTCAAATAAAAAAAAACACCCGATACTCGACTGTTATTAACCAAAGAAGCAACATTCTTTATCATGAGTTTTTCATGGCTTTCCCGTCTTTCATCTCATGGCTCCAGCTCCCACCTCACTTGGGGGGAGGTGAAGGTGGCAAGGGTCCTAACCAGGGCAGGACCAAAGCAGTGAAGACACTGTTCATTCATGCGCAGGTGTCTCCTAGGCGCCTATGATGTGCTAGGCATTACGTAGACACTGTGGACTAGAAACGAAAAAACTAAGATTAGGGCTCCCCATAAACCGGGCCATGCAAATCAATTACTAGCTGTCATTTGATTAATTTGAAGTCAGAAGCTGTGTCTGCCCCACTTAAAATAGGCATCCCTTATTCATTGAGGAAAGAGCATTGGAGCAGGTTTTACCAGTCCACAGACTACCCGAGAACCACCTGGGGAGCATGCTGAAAACACAGGTTCCCTGGCCCTGCCTTGGAAAGGCTAATCTAACCCATTAAGTAAAGAGGAAACTCAGGAACACGTATTATAACGAACCCCCCAGGTGATTCTCATTTGGAACCAGAGACCCGCATGATTTCCTAGCTCCCTCCAAGTTGAAAATCATCGATTTCATGGTCTTTGACACATGGCCTAATTTGGTTAGATTTCTCTTTACACAGACGTTAGCTTTACGTTGTTGTTGTTTTGTTTTGTTTTGTTTTTTAAATATATATACTGGACTAAATTCTCCCAGTGCCTCTTATTAGCCGAGCCCAACCAGAAGCCAAAGGCAAGGGTGATGCCGTCCTCCAGCCTGTGTCAGCCTGGAGGAGGTGCCCGGGTCCTGGAGGGACCAACAGAGAGGACCAGCACCTCTGCCCTCCTCGGGGAGTCCACGGGAGCTCTTTACACTTTGCTTTAGACCAAACAACTCCAACAATTACACATTTTTTCTTACACAATGAAATTAAATAATAATAAAAGAAAAATAAAATAACATTTTTGAAAGTGATTTAAAGTTTTAAGAGGTTTTTATTCCATTGTGTAGCCAATGTTTTCCTTTTAAAGATTATTGGTAAAGTTTATTTTACTTTCTAACTCAAAATTTGTCCACGGAAACTTCTTGGGAAAGTAGGATTCCCTGCATCGCAGATGGACATAGAGAGAGGATTTGTTGGAGCTCAGCTGCGCGGTGCTCTGACGGCCTTTTCTCTCTCTTCAGGGGGTCCCTTCTTGGAGGACGTGGTAATAGTTGGTCCAAGCCCCTCCCATCCTCCAAAACTTCCTTTGGCCTCTCCTGGGGGCCCAGTGAATCCTTCCACCTTCTCACCCCGGCTCTTTCCCTCTTTACCCAGCAACAGATACATTCACTCAGAGAATTTCTGTGATTGGCTGAAGACAGAAGGGGTCGCCCCCATCCTCGAATCTGTTTTCTTCTTCTTTACCTCCGCCTTGTTCCTGTCCTCACCACACGGACTGAGACTGATTTGATTAAAGCACCAGAGTGTAATGGCCCTCAGAGCAGGGCTGGTCCTGGGGTTCCACACCCTGATGACCCTCCTGAGCCCGCAGGAGGCAGGGGCCACCAAGGGTGAGTGCGAGGGCGAGGAGGGTGCGGCGGGGAGCAGAGATTTACGGAGTTGGGTTACATGAGGAGGTGGCATGGAGGATGCTTGTTCCTCTCGCTCTCTGGTTTATGGGCAACTTCCTTCACCAAGAGACACCCAATCCCCCTCATCTCTGTCACATCCACTCTGGACCTAAATGAAGATGCAGCTCGGTCAGCTGCGCAGGTGCCCCAGTCAGCCTTTGCTGACGTTCAGATTTCTCCTCATTCCTTCCTCCTTCCTGAGACCCAAACCTCCACCCAACAGATGCCAGCAAGCACCCTGATTTCTCTACCACCCCTGGCCTGGAATGTGCCCGATCAAGTCCAGTTCTGTTGCAGTATTTATGCCCATGCCGGTAGTTAACTATTTACCTGTCTTTGTTCTTCGGGAGACATGAGCTGGGGTGCGGGTCTACAGATGGTTCATCTTTTTTTTCTTTTATTTCCCTGGCCCCCCATTGTGCTGGGTGCATGCTAGTTCCTCAATAACTGTTGCTCAAACAACTTCATAGAGTTCTACAAGAATTAAAACTTAATCCCTAACTTCCAGAAAACTAGACAACAGTTATGGAAGAGCCACACTCAGTCATAATGCTCTGAGATGGAGGAATTGGGACATGAACCTTGACTTCTGACTCCTCGTCCAGTGCTCTTTGTAATGCCTTGAGTTGCCTCTCCCTATCCCCTTGGTCTCTGGGTCACTAACCTTAATTCTTACCCCTGCCAGCCGTGGCCTGTTTCCCCTCACACCCACCTGCACTGCATCTCTGTGCAAAGCTCCATACTCTCCTGTCCTTAATCATTCCTCCTCATCCCACCCCCACAGTCCCACCAGCTCACAACACAGGGCCTGACAACACAGCCAGGGCAGATGACCACAGCCAAGATTTAAATTCTGGAACCCCAAGCATGATTTTAGGCAGTCCCTCCTCTTCCCATCCTGATATGCCAGACTGCACTGTCTCTGTGCCGACTGCAGTGTGCTGGGATGAGCCTCTTTCTTCCTGTTCTCTCTCCCTTTCTCTCTCCCAGGGCCAGCCCAGTGTCAGAACAGGACTCTGTCCCCACACAGAACCCAGGACGGGGCCCAGGCTCAGGGACTCAACAATCACATATTGTGGATGAGACAGACACATTTTTTTCTCTCTCCTTGACCCTGAACTCGCCAAACACAGCTGACCACATGGGCTCCTACGGACCCGCCTTCTACCAGTCTTACGGCGCCTCGGGCCAGTTCACCCATGAATTTGATGAGGAACAGCTGTTCTCTGTGGACCTGAAGAAAAGCGAGGCCGTGTGGCGTCTGCCTGAGTTTGGTGACTTTGCCCGCTTTGACCCGCAGGGTGGGCTGGCCGGCATCGCCGCAATCAAAGCCCATCTGGACATCCTGGTGGAGCGCTCCAACCGCAGCAGAGCCATCAACGGTACCGGCCCTCCCTCTGCCCACCCAGTCAGGCGGGAAGGTCCAGAGAAACTTCCTCCCAGTTCCTAGGTTCCCATCACTCTGGGGCGCGCTCTCAGCGCCCGCGCCTGTCATGCCCTGTTCCTTTCTTTCCCAGGAGGCTCCAGGTCTTCCCAGACCCCTTTGGCACCCCTCTCCTTGAGGAATGACACCTCTCACCCGGACTCCCGCCCAGGGACCAGTCAAATATAGGAGCTCCTGGCGTCCCCACTCCCTCCCCAGTCTCCTCTCCCTCTGTTTCCCTCCTCTCCTGCCCCAGTGGATACCCCAGAGCATCCCCTGCCCACAGATGGCTACAAAGGGGGAACGTCCCTTAATCCCAGTCCTAGTAAGGCCCTGGGGTGAGGGATGAGCCTGTGGACTCAGGGCCCGTTCCTCCTAGTGCCTCCACGGGTGACCGTGCTCCCCAAGTCTCGGGTGGAGCTGGGCCAGCCCAACATCCTCATCTGCATCGTGGACAACATCTTCCCCCCTGTGATCAATATCACCTGGCTACGCAACGGCCAAACTGTCACTGAGGGAGTGGCCCAGACCAGCTTCTATTCCCAGCCTGACCATTTGTTCCGCAAGTTCCACTACCTGCCCTTCGTGCCCTCAGCCGAGGACGTCTATGACTGCCAGGTGGAGCACTGGGGCCTGGATGCGCCACTCCTCAGGCATTGGGGTACGGAGCCCCCTCCCCATGCACCCTCCTGGCCCCAGGTTTCCTTTACTCTAGAATCCTTTCATATACCACCGACTCCTTCCTTTCTCTCCTAGAGCTCCAGGTGCCTATTCCACCACCAGATGCCATGGAGACCCTGGTCTGTGCCCTGGGTCTGGCCATCGGCCTGGTGGGCTTCCTCGTGGGCACCGTCCTCATCATCATGGGCACATATGTGTCCAGTGTCCCCAGGTGCAGAGGCCCCGGGAGTCTGGGGGGTGGGGGAGGAAAGTGGATGACTCTGAACAGGACGTGGGTGGAGAATCAGAGATTCTGTTGTGGGGAAAGAAGTCAGAAAAGAAATGGGCAGGGAGAAAAGAAGCAGAGGTGGGGTGAGAGAGTGAGGTTTTGGGGGAGGTGGGCACTCAGAGATAGGATCCCAGCATATTGAAATTGAGCAACCTCGATCGTATGTTTTCTGCTATTTTAGGTAATGATCCTTCTGAGAGAAATGACTTGTGGGAGACACCCTGCAGATCCTCATGGGTTTGTGACAGCCCCTGCGTGCTCAGTGCCCTTTAAGTGCATCCCGCTGTGCTGACTTTGAGTGGGATCAACATCTGTCCTACGGGTCCCCTCTTTTTTGGCCCCAGTATTCATGGCAGGGTTTGTTGGACACCTACTAGCTTCCCTTCCCATTCAACACAAACACACATTCTTGCTCTACCCAAAGCTCTGGCTGGCAGCACTAAATGCTTTGGTGGTGTTTGCACTGTGTCCTTTCCAGGCCTTGGCCAGTTCTTCCAGGGGTGAGGCATGTGGTGCTGGGGATTGGCAGCCGTCCTGGGGCCCACACAGGTGTGTCTTGCTCCATTTGGCCCATTGTGTGTTACTTTGTGAATGAGCCATTTCACATGGACTTCATGAAATTTGCCTCCTGAGTTCAGGTTTACCCTGAAAGGGATGCAGATTATCCTGTTCCTCACGACCCCCTCAGCTAACAACAGTTCTGAAGGGTGCTGGGACAAGACAGGCTCATGGGGACTCCACTCCTGCCTGGGTTTACTCTGTATGAAGAGGCCACTGGTATCCTGCCATGATGTTATCTCCTTTTTCTACTTTCCCTAGAGTCCCATGCATGATAAAGAGAGGCCCAAGGCTTGGATAAGGTGGCCACTTCCCTCAGTGGAGTCAGTCATGTTAGGTAGGAGGTGGTAGAGTCGGTCTGCAAGGTATCTCGTAAGAGGGGAGGTCCACCTAGACACACTCTAAATATGTGGCCTAGAAGATTTTGGTCTACTTTTCTGTGAACAGAATTTAAAACATACAAAGAGATAAATCACCATACCACATAGTTTATGTCAAGACCAAAATGAGCAATACAGATTACGGTTTTCAAACCAGAATGCACATAAGAACTGCTTGGGATCCTTTTAAAAGTACAGGCATTGGCCTGGTGCAGTGGCTCATTCCTGTAATCCCAGCACTTTGGGAGGCCAAGGGGACAGGACTGCTTGAGGCCAAGAGGTGGAAACCATCTTGGGCTACATAGAGAGACCCCATCTCTACAAAGAAAGATTTAAAAATTAACCAGGCATGGTGGCTCGCACCTGTATTCCCAGCCACTGGGGAGGCTGAGGCCGGAGGAGTGCTTGAGCCCAGGAGTTCAAGGCTGCAGTGAGCCAAGATTGCGCCACTGCACTCCAGCCTAGGTGACAGAGTGAGACCCTGTCTCTAAATAAATAAATAAATAAAATATAAAAATAACAGTCATCACCCAGACCTACTGAATTAGAATCTCGGGAGTGCAGGGGGCAGCAACAGGGGGGCTGTCTTTTCTGAGAAGGGGTCTCACTCTGTCACCAGGCTGGAGTGCCATGGCATGATCTCAGCTCACTGCAACCTCCACCTCCTGAGTTCAAGCCATTCTCCTGCCTCAGCCTCCTGAGTAGCTGGGACTACAGGTGTGCGCCACTACACTCAGCTAATTTTTGTATTTTAAGTAGAGACGGGGTTTCATCATGTTGGCCAGGATGGCCTCCATCTCTTGACCTCGTGATCCACCCACCTTCCCTCCCAAAGTACTGGAATTACAGGCATTAGCCACTGTGCCCAGCCGAGGCTGTCATTTTTAACCGGCTCTGGATGACTCTGATGCAGCCATCCTGGACCTTGGCTGTGGTCTGGTAACTGGAACCCAGTGACGTAATCAGGTGCCATCGGGGGTCATGGGAAAGGGGGATCCCCAAGGTCTGAGGTGGACTAGGAAGGCTTTCTGAAGAACCTGGGTCTGTTAGGGCATCAGCCAATCAAGGTACAAGTAAATAGAGGCAAAATGAGGGTTTGAACTGTGAGCAGTTGGTCCTGGAAAAGAAAGAAACCAAGAGATTATGGGGACTCAATGGGCTTCTTAAGAGAGAATAAGTTGAAATCAATGACCAGAAGACCCTGATGGAAGTGGAGGAGAATCATCTCAGGCAAACTTTTTGTGTGCCAGTAACAGAAACCCTCTTTGTGTGATCACATGCAAAGTATAGGATATTTGCAATATAGCCATGGGGAGGAGTGCAGGGCCCAAGGGTAGATTTTAGCCAGGCCTCCCAGGAACAGAACTCGGATCCGAAAAGCCCAGAGAAGCTAGAGCTGCCCCTCCAACACTCTCGGATCCACATGGTCTGTGTTCTCTAGACCCCCCTGCATGTTAGCGGTGTTCTCTCTCTGTGGACTGACTGTCCTTCTCAGTGAACATGTCCACCCGACAGCTCCTGAGTTTATATCATCTCAACCCTCACAACCCACAGAGGCTGTGTCTCCTAGTCACAGCTTTAAATTACTGGAAAAATAAATGACTGGCCAAACTTGGAGCAGGTGTCCATCCCAGCCCTGTGTAGTTAGAGCAGGAATCAAGATCTCAACACAAATGTGGCTGC
Source organism: Homo sapiens (assembly GCF_000001405.40). Taxonomy (NCBI): domain Eukaryota; kingdom Metazoa; phylum Chordata; class Mammalia; order Primates; family Hominidae; genus Homo; species Homo sapiens. The sequence goes on along the minus strand of NT_167246.2, from coordinate 4,423,749 downwards.
CAAGCACTCAGCCCCGGGGCGAGGGGTCAAGTTCTTCTCAGAGAAAGAGGAATAAGTTGGTTCTCAGAAGACATCACAAGATACGTGTGTACCCAACAATCTCTGATCTCTGCTGATCTTTTGCTTAGACGTTAACTTGATGCATCATTGGAAAGGTGTTTCTCTCATCTCTGTCCTAAGGCTTGATAAAGTCATTAAAATTGTGTTCTTTTGACTAAAGAAATATGCTTTTTTTTTACTGTTGCATATACTACCCTGAAGTCACTGGAACTTCTAGGAGTAATTCCAGAGCTTTTAGATTTATGCACCTGCGTGTATACTCACATTTGTTTCTAGTCTCAAGGTACGTAGTCTTTTATTTTAAAAAACAAGTTGTCCTCCTGCATTCTTGATCTTTCACTCTCTTTTAGAACAGACATCCAGTAGTCTCCTGTCCTTTGTATCCAAACTCTCCCTTTTTGCAGGGTCACCCTACAAATCATAAGCATGTCATCTCTCCTATATAACAAGAACATCAAATCCTCTGTCTGTCCTTGACCCAGTCTCCCTTCCACCCAAGCTCCTGGTCACGCTCTCTGAGAGTGTCTACGTGGACTGCCTCCAGATCCCCTCTTCCCATCCACTCTCTTTCGGTTTTAATTTTTAACCAAATTATGTTATAGTTTAAAGAGTCAAATATTTCTACAATATTTGCTACAGAAATACCAGTTTCCAGCCCCATCTCCCACCATATCCTCACCCTTACAGAAAATAACTTTCAATTGTTCTAATATGTTTTGTTGGTATTAACCTCCCATCTCTAAATAACATGTTTGTGTTGCTACATCTAGATTTTTCAGCTTTAGGCTTTATCTCTTTACCTCCTGCTGTGGAAGAGGGGGATTTAGATTTTTTTCATCCTCAAAGAACATCATGCCCCCTTTCCCATGCCCTTTCTTTTAATGTGACTATATTGTAATTTTTACAATATAGTAAAAGTTACTGTGTTTACTATGTTTCTATCAATATGACCATGTAATGGCAAACCATAGAGCAAGCCATGCTCACTCTTCCTTTTCTAGACGACTTCGTTTTCTCTGGAGTATATAGTTGTCCTGTTTTCCTTTGTGTGGCTGTATTTGTACTTATTATTAATGAATCACAAAATTCCTCACAGTACAATCAAACACATCAGGTATTCTGTCAATTTTATCACCAGATATAACTCTCCCAGAACCTTCTGTCTGCTCCATTCTTAACTCCTTGCCCTTGATGATACAGCGGTCACTCTGAGATCACTCTTCGCCATCCTCGTCAGGATTTACCTATCCTCCGAGTTGGATCTTCTGCTTCTTGTATCCAGTCATTGCCCTTTTGTGGTCTGCCTTATTTTAATGAGGCACCTCTTCTTTCCACTTCCTGAGAAACAGTGCATATGAGGAAAACTTTTTATGCTTCGTATGTCGGAAAATATATTTATTCTACTCTCACACTTGAATAATAGCTTCCACGGTTATAAAATTCAAGATTGGAAATCATTTCCATCAGAATTTTTAAGGCATTTCTCTATAATCCCTTAGCTTCCTGCGTTATTGTTGATAATCCAAAAGATATTGTGTCATGAAACTTTGTACGTAATCGTTGTTGTTTTTTTCTCTCAGAAGCTTATAGGATATCTGCTTTTTCCCTTCCTCCTTTAAATTCTTATAGGTGCTCCATTACCTACAAGATGAAGACCCTTCTCAAACCGTCCTCAGGGTATTTCTTTTTCTTTTTTTCTTTTCTTTTTTTTTTTTTTGAGGTAGAGTCTCACTCTGTTACCCAAGCTGGAGTGCAGTGGTGCAATCTCAGCTCACTGCAACCTCTGTCTCCCAGGTTCAAGCAATTCTCCTGCCTCACCCTCCTGAGTAGCTGGAATTACAGGCACCCCCCACCATGCCCGGCTAATTTTATTATTTTTAGTAGAGACCGGGTTTCACCATGTTGGCCAGGCTGGTCTCGAACTTCTGACCTCAGGTGCTCCGCCTGCCTTGGCCTCCCAAAGTGCTGGGATTACAGGCATGAGCCACCGCACCTGGCCTATTTTAACCATATAATAGCTCCTCCTGAAAATGATCAATGCTTAAGTCACAGAAAACTGTTGTCGCATGTTTACTCCTCCCTGCCTTTGCACAAACTATTCTCTGTGCTGGACCTGCCTTCCTCCACCAACCAGTCAAAATTCTACCTGTCCTTCCAGGGTCCAGATTAAATGTCACCTCTTCTGTGAAGCATTTTCAATCCCAGCCCCCAATATGCTGGCCACCCTGTCCCTGCAGTGCATACCACATTCCGCCCTGTGTCAGTTGACTGTGTATGAATTTGCCTTTGCCACTAACTGCTCCTCTAAAGCAAGAGAAGGCTGTGTCTTATAGTTCCAACACCCAGAACATAATGGGCATTGAAACACTGTAGAATTCTATTTAATTCAATTTTGTTTGCTTCAAATCCAGCCTGGTCCGACTGTCTGCAGCTGGTTTTAATAACATTGGCTACCGTTTACCCAACACATGCAATGTGCCTGGCCTTAATGCTTTTCACGTGTAGTGGATTTGAATCTTGGTCCAAAAGATTAATAAGATAGTGCACAGAGTGCAAAAAATAGTAAATGTCTTTAAATAATCGAAAATCTGATTCAAAACCTGCTCTTTAAAAAATCTTAAATCTGATTCAAAACCCCTGCCATGAGGCTGGTTTTAAGTTCAATCTGTCTTTATTGGGGCTTCTGGTCTCTTACAGTTGTTCCAAGGGTCTGCGCCCTGACACAGTGCTGAGGCCTTGGAGAAGCCCCTGTTGTCTTCTCCAGTCCAGACTGTTTACTCCAAGCATGCCTAGGGCTTAACCTGTATGCTCTTTTCCAAGTGGAAGCTCTGCTGCTTCTGCACTAGGCTTGGGGCAGGGGAATCTTTAGTGAGGAGTGATCCCCAGTGCCTGGGAGCAGGACTGCAAAGATGCACCATACGGCCAACTTCCCCGTCCCTGGGAGGCCTCCCCACCTGCCTTGGCTGCTGCAAGGAAGCAGGGCTCTTTCAGACCCACAGGCCACTGTGCCTTCCTCAGTTTGGGAGAACCTTCCCCCTTTGCCTGTCAAAGGCATTCCCCTCTCTCTCTCTGGCACAATGTCTGGGACACCTGGCATAATGTCAAGTGAGCTTCAGATTTTGGGAAATCCAAAGCCAGAAGAGGAAAGGCCTTGGCGGTGACATGTGCTATTGTCTTGTGTGACAAACCTAAATACAAACAAAGGAAAAAGAAAAGCATCATTCTGCCATACATGAATTATTTCATTTCTTCCTTATGACCAATCTGCAAGTTAAGTATAATGATTTCATTTTATAAAGAAGGAAGCTAGGATTCAAATTACCTAACTTGCCCAAGGTCAAACAGCTAGGAGGTGGTTGGAAGGTCTGTGTGATGCTAGAGCCCATGTTCTTTCCACTGCACTGTCCTACTCAGCAGCGAATGGAGACCAGCTTGTGAGACATGAGGCAGGATGAACAGGGTCAGACATCAGCATTACTAGGAAATGTGTAGGAGGAGGTATTCCCAACTTTGGGAACAAACTTCTTCTGAGGCTTCAGCAGCAACAGGCTGCAGGGAATGAGGTGAGCTTGAAGAATGACTGGGGATGGAATTACTGAAGAGATTTTCTTCTCCCTCCTGGATCAGTCGAAGCACTCCCCCAGTTCAGACTTTCTTTCTTGCTTAGTCTAAATTCCCTCCTGGTCAACAAGACTCTATATGATCTGGCGCTGCATGTGTCTTCATCTTTACTTCCCTCTACTCTTCCTTCTTTCATTAAGCAATAGCCACACTATCTTCCCCAGAATTCTCCTTAACATTAATGCCTCCAATTCATCACCCATTCACAACTCGTGTGGCACCAATTCAGAGAAGCTTCATTGACCAACTTTGCTAAATAAACCACCTATCTCCAATCTCTCCCTATCATGTTACCCTATTTATCTCTACACACAGATGCCTTTCAATGAATGATGTCCCACTTCTCAGGCTTTCCTTTCTCTCTGACTTCAGAAAAGCTTCCAGACAAGTGATCGTGCACGCAGAGGAGCGACTTCACTTCCTCTCCTCTCCTCCTTGTGGTTTAGGAGGTTGCTACCTATGACTTGTAATTTGGCTCCATCTTGTGGTTTGCATCCACCCCACCTGGAGCCTCCAAATCTGAGTAAGCCTAAGGTCTCCCAAGGTGGACTCCCCGGCACTTCCGTCCACTGGAAACGTTCTGCTGCCTCCTCCCTAGAGTCCCAACACCGCTCTTGAGACCTGGTCAGGTTCCCAGTTGCCCTTTATTCCTTTCCTCGGGCCTTCAGTATATGGATCTGCTTCAGGTACAAGTTCTTACTGTAATGCCTGAAACATGGTGGTTACTCAATAAATGTTTAAAGCCCCAGCTGACTAAAACAAAATGTAGTCACCCTGCTCTCAAATTCCCTGATGACATGTCCGCATAAAGAAAAATAAATTAAAATTTGTTTTTCTGATATTAACAAGTATTGTTTTGTTAATACTATTATCTTTCATAATAGTATTGACTATTATTATTGAGCACTTCCAATGTGCCAAACACTAGTCTAACCAACTGATATTTGTCAAATCCAGTATCTCCACATTCACTAAGAAGCACACCAGATATTTCCTAAATTGTTGCATGAAACCGAAGTGTTTAGGAGAGTGTTAATAACCTAACCAAAAACAAATCAATAGAAGTAATATTTTTCTGTTAAAACATATTTTAATACATGTAAGGAAATGCCAAACTTAAATATGTATCTTTTTGTTTTTTGTTTTTTTTGAGACAGAGTCTTGCTCTGTTGCCCAGGCTGGAGTGCAGTGGTGCCATCTCAGCTCACTGCAACCTCCGCCTGCTGGGTTCAAGTGATTCTCCTGCCTCAGCCTACCGAGCAGCTGGGACTACAGGCATTCACCACCGCACCCAGCTAATTTTTGTATTTTTAGTAGAGATAGGGTTTCACCATATTGGCCAGGCTGGTCTCGAACTCCTGACCTTGTGATCCGTCCGCCTTGGCCTCCCAAAGTGAAGTATGTATCTTTATTATATAGTAATCTGCCTTTTAAAAATGATATGTCATTATTTGTAACAATTGAAAATTATTGGAAACATGCCTAGTAAGAGTACAATAGTTGAAAAAATTATAGTACATCTGCACAATGGAGTAATGCAAAGCTGTTAAAAAGAATGAGGAGATAGAAAAAATAAGTTCCAATGTTTGATAGCAGACTGGGGTGACTGTAGTCAGCAACAATATATATATATATATATATATATATATATATATATATATATATATATATAGTATATTTCAAAGTAGCTAGAAGAGAGGACTTGAGATGTTGCCAACACATAGAAATGATAAATGCTCAAGGTGAAGGATACCCCAAATACCTGACTTGATCATTAGTCTCATTGTATGCATGTAACAGATACTCACATGTACCTCATAAATAAAATATGTAAAATATCATGTATCAATTAAAGGAAAAAGTCTAACGAAAAGGAATGAGAAAGATCTCTTTGAACTAATACGGAGGAATCTCTAGGTTAGAGTGGAAAATTCACAGTGCAATACAATGATTAAACTATGTACTGCCTTTGGGGTAAGAAAGAGGAAAGATACATATTTTTTCAAAAAGGTGGATTGGGTCAGATGTGGTGGCTTGTGCCTATAATCCCCACACTTTGGGAGGATGAAGTGGGAGGATCACTTGAGGTCAGGAATTTAACACCAGCCTGGCCAACATAGCAAGACTCTGTCTCTACATAAAATAAAAAAATTAGCCAGGCATGGTGGTACCCCCTGTAGTCCTAACTACTCAGGACGCTGAAGCAAGAGGATCATTTGAGCCTAGGAGTTCGAGGCTATAGTGAGTTATGATGGTGCCACTGCACTCCAGCTTGGGCAACAGAGTGAGACCATGTCTCCAAAGGGGGAAAAAAGCTGCATTGGAAGGATAAACAAGAAATTAATAAAAATGGCTACTTTTAGGAAGGAAGGGAGAATAGAAGTGAGAAGTGAATATTGACCTTTGAAACGTATAAATAATTTACAATGTTAATAAAAAATTGACAAAAACCTCTAAAATTTAAAACAAATAGAACTGAACCACACAGAAAAAATAAGTATCCCAAGTGATATTAAAAGATACTACTGTATGTTCTTGGTGGAATACACTTACTCTCTCTCTTCTCTCTCTATTTTTTGTTGTTGTTGTTGTTTGTTGTTTGTTGTTTTTTTAGACAGGGTCTTGCTCTGTTGCCAGCCAAGGCTGGAGTGCTGGAGTGCGCTGGTGTGATTATAGCTCAGTGCACCCTCAAATTCCTGGGCTCACGTGATCCTCCCACCTCGGTCTCCCAAGTACAGTAGCTGGGACTTCAGGAACATGCCACCATACCCAGTTAATTAAAATACATGTTTTAAATAGAAATGGGGTCTCATTATGTTGCCCCAGCTGACTTAATAGAATATATTCTAAGGACAAAAAGAACTATCAGAACTTTGAACATCATTCAGTTGTTTTATGGTTAAGTAATATTTGTATCCTTATTTGAAACTATACTATATATAAAATAAAGCAAATCAGTGATTATGTTAATATAATTAAGAACTAAGATTTTTAGGCCGGGGGCAGTGGCTCATCCCTGTAATCCCAACATTTTGGGAGGCCAAGGCGGGCGGATCACAAGGTCAGGCATTCAAGACCAGCCTGGCCAACACAGTGAAACCCCGTCTCTACTGAAAACACACAAAAAATCAGCTGGGTGTGGTGGCGGGCGCCTGTTATCCCAGGTACTCGGGCGGCTGAGGCAGGAGAATTGTTTGAACCTGGGAGGCAGAGGTTGAGGTCAGCGGAGATTGCACCATTGCACTCCAGCCTGGGCAACAGGGAGAGACTCCATCTCAAAGAAAAAAAAAAAAAAAAAAAGAACTAAGATTTTCATGTATAAAAAGCAAGTAAAAGTAGCTGAATTAAAATAATAATATTAGAAAAAATATTTGAACTAGAACTGTCAATTTTAACTAATGATTCACTAACATATATGTCCCTGCTCTAGCAAATGAAAGAGCCTAATAGTAGCCCTGTAGCAATGAGCATCCTCAATGCACAGATTGTAGTGTGTAAATATCATTTCCCACTCAAAGGAAATAGAGCTTCTTGGAGAAGTGACCAGTTCCAGGCCTGAGTTATGGAAAATACAAAGCAAGTGTGAGTATCTCATTGTTTTCATAAAACAAGGCACTGTTCAAAGACTAATAGAGTCATGTCAAAAAAACAGGTCAGCCAGTTTGAAGGAGCTTCCATTGGCCAAAACTGGAACAACTCAGACATCAAAAAGATGACTATAATATAATTAAACACATTGAGTATATAAAAATCCATGGGTTCCTATTAATAGTCGAATACAGATTTTAAAAAGAAAGCAACAACAACCCATTGATATTACCACTGGATGTGATCTTCCAATTCATAACACAGGAAATTGGTGCTTAAAGAAAACAAGTATATATCCTGACATTTCACAAGGAAATGTTCCACTGATGAAAAAAGGTCTACCCTTCAGAGTACCAGTGAATAAATGTTGGGAAAAATAACAGAATTAGAAAACCAGCATTTTGTAAGCCTAATGTGATCATTGATTCAGGGAAGGCATCATATATGTTAAAACCATTAGGAGAATAGACAGTGAGGAACAAGAGAGTCACATCATGCCAAAGTATCATGGTCATAGATTATTTGCTATTGTCAAATGGGAGAAATACCTTTACAGAGGTGATGGCTGTCATCACCTCGACTGAGTGATCAAGTTTAGCCTCACCAATAATAGGACAAGACATTAAGCATATGCTTCCTAATAAGATGAAATGCAAAGTACACAGCAATACCTATGAAGAATTATTGTCAAAAATCTTTCATCTAAATCTAGTCAAGCCTTTGTTTCAAAAAGTTCTAGTCTATAAAAAAAATACATTGGATAGAGGAATAAGTCAAATGAAACCACAAAGAACCAATCACACAAATTCAAAATGTGAGAGATTCTACTGGCCTTGTCTCTCTAAAAAGATGCTGTTTAAAAAATGGGTGGAATAGTGGGAATTAAGAGACATTACAATCAAATTTAGTGAATGATTCTTGGCAATATCTTTGAGGAAAAACAGATATAAAAGCACTTTTCAGACAAATGGGGAAATTTGAATATGAACTGGTAATCGATGATATTAGAGAGCTGTTTTCAGTTTTGTTTAGTATGATTACAGTACCACGGTTATGTATCAAGTCATCTTTATGCTAAAGTATTTAGGGATGAAATGCTAGATCTCTAATTTACTTCGGAATGAATTCAGAATACACACACAGTTCAAACAAACACAGCAAAATCTTGACAGTTGTTGAATCTATATGATGGGTATTTGTCTTAGTCCATTTTGTGTTGCCATAACAGAATACCACAGACTAGGTAATTTACCAAAAAAAAAAAAAAAAAAAAAAAAAAAAAAAGAAAAGAAAGAAATTTGTTTCTCACAGTTCTGGAGGCTGGGAAGCCTAATGTCAGGTGCCAACATCTGGCAAGGGCTTTCTTGCTGTGATGAAGAAAAAAGGCAGAAGAAAAAAGGAGGAGAGAAAGGATGAAGGAGAGGAAAGGAGTCAAACTCATCCTTTCATCAGGAATTCACTCCTGAGATGAGATAACTAATCCACTCTAGAGATGATGGCATTAAGCCCTTTATGAGGGCTCTGCCCATCTCTTTAAGAGATGACCTAATCGTATTTTAAAGGTCCCACTTCTCAACGTTGTTGCATTGGGGATTAAGTTTCCAATGTTTTATATATAACAACTTTATGTTATGTATAAAATAAAGCAAATCAGTGATTATGTTCATGTAATTCAGAACTGAGATTTTTAATGTATGAAAAGCAAGTAAACGTAGTTGAATTAAAACAATAATATTAAATTTGAACTAGAAAAATATTTTGAACTAGAAATGTCAGTTTTAACTAATGATTTACTAATATATATGTCCTAGCTCTAGCAAAAGGAAGAGCCTAGTAACTTTGGGAGACACATTCAAACCATAGCAGCTTTCAAGTATTATTTTATTTTTCCCAAGTTTTCTGCAGGTTTGGAAATTTTCACAATTAAAGAGGTGTGTGTGTGTGTGTGTGTGTGTGTGTAATGCTTTATTATACTTGAAAATAGCAGGAAATTAAAGGAGAGAGCACTAGATTCCTGAACTCACAAGTTGATGTATGTCACCAATTGAATAACTTTTTTTTTTTTTTTGAGACAGAGTTTCGCTCTGTTGCCCAGGCTGGAGTGCAATGGTGCGATCTCAGCTCACTGCACCCTCCACCTCCTGGGTTCAGGTGATTCTCCTGCCTCAGTCTCCCGAGTAGCTGGGATTACAGGCGCCCACGACCACGCCCAACTAATTTTTGTATTTTTAGTAGAGGCAGGGTTTCACCAGGTTGGCCAGGCTGGTCTCGATCTCCTGACCTCAGGTGATCCACCCACCTCAGCCTCCTAAAGTGCTGGGATTACAGGCATGAGCCACCGCTCCCAGCCTGTTCTGTAATATTTTATAATTTAAATAAATAATGTAAATGGGTTGTTCTTTTGTTTTAATTAAAATAAAATAAACATGATGTAATGCCTTTAAATTTTTGTTCCACTACATGGCTATTAAATACATACATAAAATTTGACCATTTCCCCAGCAGATTTCTCATCCATAGGCTCAAAACCAACTCATTTTATTTTGGGAGCCCTACAATTACTTTATCAATATTATATCATTTGAAAAAAATGATCTGTAGTCAAAAGTTACTGTAACATTGTCTATAGACATCCCAGGAACACCAAGAATAAGTTCACCTAGAAAAATGTCATATAATTTTGTTTTTATAAGACATTAAAATGTTATATAAAAAATTATAAAACATTAAAATGTTATATAAAATTATAAAACATAAAAATGTTATGTAAAAAATTATTTTCCCCATATTTGAGATTTTATTGCCAATCCCAATCAGAAAACAGAAAAGAGGAATAAAAAATAGTAAAAATGGGCCGGGCGCAGTGGTTCACGCCTGTAATCCCAGCACTTTGGGAGGCCGAGGCGGGCGGATCACGAGGTCAGGAGATCGAGACCATCCTGGCTAACACGGTGAAACCCCGTCTCTATTAAAAATACAAAAAATTAGCCGGGCGTGGTGGCGGGCGCCTGTAGTCTCAGCTACTCGGGAGGCTGAGGCAGGAGAATGGCGTGAACCCGAGAGGCGGAGCTTGCAGTGAGCTGAGATCCCGCCACTGCACTCCAGCCTGGGCGACAAAGCGAGACTCCATCTCAAAAAAAAAAAAAAAAAAAAAAGTAAAAATGAAGAAGGTACTAAGTTTCCAAAATCTTAAAAAGTCTTTATAGTTTTTAAATCTCCTTCTTATGTAGTCAACGCAAGCCCAGACGCACGCCTACCCCTACCCCCAGCTTTCCTCTCACCATCCATCTCCTACAATCCAGTTCCCTCAGGCCTCTCTTCCTTCACAAAGGTCCCAGTGTCTAAGCCAAGCCTGAAGGTATGGTTAGGATGAATGGTAGGTATGAATAGTTACCATTTAGAAATTACGCAGTCTAAAGCGAATATTAATAGTTCAACTTAGCCTGGTTTCTCTTCGTGCAGCAAAAGCCATCACTGGAATTTCCTTTACTTACATTTATGGAATGAAGTCGTTCGTTTCTTATTTGTGTCTTCACACTTCTTAATAGTTCTCCAGCTAAGCTAAATTAATTGGGCTTGGTGAAAAAAATAAAATTTTCTACAGTATGCAGGAATCTTGTGTAGAAGCTGCATTTAAGAACATAGAAGAAAATGGAGACATTACAACTGACACTATAGAAATACAAAAGATCATCTAAGAATACTATAAACACCTCTACGCACACAAACTATAAAATCTAGAGGAAATGAATGAATTCCTGGAAGCATTCCTCTAAGCTTGAATCAGGAAGAAATAGAAATCCTGAACAAACCTAGAGGAAATGAATGAACTCCTGGAAGCATACAACCCTCTAAGCTTGAATCAGGAACAAATAGAAATCCTGAACAAACCAGTAACAAGTACTGATATTGAATCAGTAATAAAAAATCTTTAAAAAAAAAAAAAAGGCCCAGGACCAGATTCACAGCTGAATTCTACCAGATGTTCAAAGAAGAACTGGTACCAATCCTATTGAAACTATTCCAAAAGATTAAGAAAGAGAGAATCCTCCCCAACTCATTCTGTGAAGCCAGTGTTACCTGATGCCAAAGCCAGGAAAGAACACAACAAAAAGGAAAACTACAGAACAATATTCCTGATGAACATAGATGCAAAAATCTTCAACAGAATATTAACAAACCAAATCCATCAGCACATCAAAATGATAAATCACCATGATCAAGTGGGTTTCATCATAGGGAGGCAAGGATGGTTCAACATATGCAAGTCAATAAATGTGATTCACCACATAAACAGAATTTAAAACGAAGTCATATGATCATTTCAATCAATGCATAAAAAGCATTTGGTAAAATCCAGTATCCCTTTATAATAAAAAATTTCAACAAACTAGGCATAGAAGAAACAAACCTCAAAATTATAAAAGTCAGATATGATAAACACACAGCCAATATCATACTGAATGGATGAAAGTTGAAAGCCGGCCGGGCACAGTGGCTCACGCCTATAATGCCAGCAGTTTGGGAGGCCAAGGTGGGCAATTCACCTGAGGTCAGGAGTTCGACACCAGTCTGGTCAACAATAGTGAAACCTCATCTCTACTAAAAAAAAAAAAAAAAAAAAAATTAGCTAGGCATGGTGGGACTGCATGCCTGTAGTCCCAGCTACTTGGGAGGCTGAGGCAGGAGAATTGCTTGAACCTCGGATGCAGGGGTTGCAGTGAGCTGAGGTCGCACCACTGCACTCCAGTCTGGGTGACAGAGTGAGACTCCGTCTCACACACACAAAAAAACAAAAACTGTCCAGGGGAACTTGTCCAGTCCCCCTAAGAACTGGACAAGACAAAGATGCCCACCTTCACCACTCCTATTCATCATAGTACTGGAAGTCCTAGCCAGAGAAAACAGACAAGGGAAAGCACACCCAAATTGGAAAAGAGGAAGTCAAATTATCTCTGTTTGCCAATAACATAATCTTATACCTAGAAAACGCTAAAGACTCCTCCAAAAGACTCTTAGATTTGATAAATGAATTCAGTAAAGTCTCAGGTTACAAAATCAACATACACAAATCAATAACACAGCTCTATACCAATAACGACCAACCAGACAATCAAATCAAGAACTCAATCTCACTTGCAATAGCTACAAAAAAAATTGTAAATGTCTAGGAATATACTTAACCAAGGAGGTGAAAGATCTCCCTAATGAGAACTACAAAACACTGATGAAAGAAATCATAGATGACACAAACAAATGGAAAACCATGCCATGCTCATAGATTGGAAGAATCAATATGAAAAATGACCATACTGCCCAAAGCAATCTACAGGTTTAATGCAATTCCTATCAAAATATCAGCATCATTTTTCACAGAATTAGAAAAAGCAATCCTAAAATTCCTATGGAACAACAATAAAAAAAAAGCCTGGATAGCCAAAGCAATCCTAAACAAAAAGAATAAATCTGGAGGCATCACATTACCCAACTTCAAATTACACTACAAGGCTAGAGTAACCAAAACAGCATGGTACCGGTATAAAAGTACACAGTAGATCAATGGAACAGAATAGAGAACCCAGAAATAAAACCAAATACCTACAACCAACTAATCTTCAACGAAGCAGACAAAACAATACACTGAAGAAAGGACACCCTATTCAATAGATAGTGCTGGGAAAATTGGATTGACACAGGTAGAAGAACGAAACTAGGGCCGGGCGTGGTGGCTCACGCCTGTAATCCCAGCATTTTGGGAGGCCGAGGTGGGTGGATCATGAGGTCGGGAGTTTGAGATCAGCCTGGCCAACATAGTGAAACCCTGTCTCTACTAAAAAATACAAGATTTTGCCAGGAGTGGTGGCGTGCACCTGTAGTCCTGGCTACTTGGGAGGCTGAGGCAGGAGAATCACTTGAACCCAGGAGGTGGAGGTTGCAGTGAGCCGAGACCGTACCATTGCACTCTAGCCTGGGTGACAAACAAGACTCCATCTCAAAAAAAAATAAAAATAAAAATAATAAAACGAAACCAGATCCCTGTTTCTCAACATATACGAAAATTAACTCAAGATAGATTAACGACTTAAATCTAAGACCTGTGATCATAAAAATTCTGGAAGAAACCTTGGAAAAACTCTTATGAATATTGGCCTAGGCAAAGAATTTATGAATAGGACCTCAAAAACAAATCCAACAGAAGCAAAAATAAATAAATAGGACCTACCTAATTAAACTAAAAAGCTTCTGCACAGCAGAGGAAATAATCAAGAGTTAAACAGACAACCACAGAATGAGAGAAAATATTTGCAAATATCTGACAAAGGACTAATATCCAGAATCTAGAAGGAGCTCAAACAAATGAGAGAAAAAAAAAAAACCAAATAATAATCCCATTAAAAAGTGAGCAAACGACATTGACAGACATTTCTCAAAAGAAGATATACAAATGTCCAGAAACATATGTAAAAATGTTCAACATCACTATCATCAGGGAAATGCAATTTTTTTTTTTTTTTTTTTTGAGACAGAGTTTCGCTCTTGTTGCCCAGGCTGGAGCGCAGTGGTGCGATCTTGGCTCACTGCAGCCTCCGCCTCCTGGGTTCAAGTGGTTCTCCTGCCTCAGCCTCCCGAGTAGCTGGGATTACAGGCATGCGCCACCATGCCCAGCTAATTTTGTATTTTTAGTAGAGATGGGGTTTCTCCATGTTGGTCAGGCTGGTCTCGAACTCCCACCTCAGCCTCCCAAAGTGCTGGGATTACAGGCGTGAGCCATCGCGCCCAGCCTGGAAATGCAAATTAAAACCACAATGAGATACTACCTTATCCCAGCCAGTATCATTGATATTAAAAAGTCAAAAAGCAATAGATGTTGGCAAGGATGCAGTGAAAAGGGATAGCTTATACATTGCTGGTGGGAATGTAAATTAGTACAACCTCTGTGGAAAACACTATGGAGATTTCTCAAAGAACTAAAAGTAGATCTACCATTTGATCTAGCAGTCCCACTCCTGGGTATCTACCCAAAAGAAAAGAAGTCATTACATCAAAAAGACATAGAATTCACAATTGCAGAGGTATGGAATCAACCTAAGTGCCCATAAACTGATGAGTGGATAAGAAAATGTGATGTGTATATACCATGAAATCGTACTCATCCATAAAAAAGAATGAAATAATATATTTTCCAGCAACTTGGATGGAACTGGACCATTTTCCTAAGTGAAGTAACTCAGGAACAGAAAACCAAGTACTACGTGTTCTCATTGTTAAAGAAAAAAAACCTTAGACGAATGAAATTCAACAGAGTTTAATTGAGCAAAGAACAATTTGTGAATTGGGGAGCCTTCTGAGCCAGAGTAGGCTGAGAGACTCCAGAACAGCCAAGTGGTGGAATATTTATGAACAGAAAAAGTAAAGTGATGTACAGAAAACAGACATGAGGTACAGAAACAGCAGGATTGGTTAAAGCTTGGCATTTGTTTATTTGAACACAGTTTGAACAGTTGATCACCTTTGATTGGCCAAAACTCAGTGATTGGCACTAGAGTAGGTTTCAGTCTGATTACACATCAAGTTAGGTTTCAGTTTACTATGTATGGAGAAACCTTTAGGCTGAACTTAAAACATGTAAGGAAGCAGCTTTAGGCTAAACCTAATTTAACACTCACTTGTAAGTAGGAGCTAAGCTATGGGTATGCAAAGCCATACAGAGTAGTATAACGGACACTGGAGACACAGAAGTGGGGAGTGGGGTGTGGGGTGAAGGATGAAAAATTATTTACTGAGTACAATATACACTATTGGGTAATGGGTACACTAAAAGCCCGGACTTCACCACTATACAATTCATCCATGTAAATAAAAGCCACCTGTACTCCTAAAGCTATCGAAATAAAAATAATAAAAATAAAATTCTAGGCTCGGCCTGGTGGGTCATGCCTGTAATCCCAGCACTTTGGGAGGCCGAGATGGGCGGATCGCTTGAGGCCAGGAGTTTGAGACCAGCCTGGCCAACATGGCGAAAACCCGTCTCTACTAAAAATACAAAAATTAGTCCAGCATGGTGGCAGGTGCCTGTAATCCCAGCTACTTGGGAGGCTGAGGCAGGAGAATTGCTTGAACCCAGGAGGTGGAGGTTGCAGTGAGCCGAGATCGTGCCACTGCACTCCGGCCTAGGCGACAGAGCAAGACTGTGTCTCAAAATAAATAAATAAATAAATAAATAAATAAAATAAAGTTCTAAAAAGATTGAGGTGTGTGTGTGACTGTGTGTATGTGTGTGCATGCATGTGTGTGTGTGTTCATCTCTAGCCTCATTCTTTAGCTCAGGTTGGTGGAGTTAACAATATCTGGAAGTTTTTGCTAAGTTTTACTTCTGAATTCCTTGTTTGCTTATATCTAGAATATAACTAGAAATGTTTGGTATGTAAAGATATAAACTTTGAAATTAGCCTTATCTTGTCTCACTAGCTCTGTGATCTTATGCACATTAACTTAGAGTTTCCTCCTCTCTAAAATAAAAATAATAACATATGTGTGGTAGGAACGTCATGTGGACCAAAAAAGATGACTATGAAAAGTGCCCATCAATATACACCTGGCAGATAGCAACGGCTCAGTGAGTGTCAGTTCCCTTTCCTTGGCTTTCTCCTTCTCTCTCAGTTTCCCCAGACTCAGAGGAAAAGAAGATTCTTTCTGTTTTGTTTTCTACCTGACTCTGAAGTTCAGGACAGATGCTTTTGATACCCCCTGCAGTAACATCAGCCACCTTCCTCCCAATCACAGAACTGCTTTCTGAGGTAGCTTTTCAACCCCAAGCTGCTCCCTCAGTTGCTCATCATTCTCTCCTTCCCTCAATTTTTGTCTCTTGCCTTACTCCCTGGCCAAATGATTGGTTAAATAGTTGCGGGGCTCTGTAGGGTCTATTTGCAAGACCAAAGGCAGTGATAGAAGGACATGAGATCACTGGGAATCAGCCTGAATAGCAGAGATGGATTTAAGAACAGTAAATCAGTGGGTTGTGTTATTGTGGTTGGAAACAGGTCCAGAACAGAATGCAGAATTTTAAGAGGAAGTCTAAGCACAGTGTCATAGCCAGTTTCAACACCAGGTCACAGACCAGACATCAGGGAATTGGGGGCCAAGTAAGGAAAGTTCCTTACAGAAGGCAGGGTGTGCAACCTGAAGCTTGACATAGCAATCAAAGGGCACAGAGATTGGGCAGTGCCAGTGCTTTCTTAAATCAAGAATACAGAATAATATGTCATGGTAACCATGGATCTGGAAGAACAAGCATCATTTTATTTTGCATCAGAGAGAATGAAGTTTCACTCTGACAGGGATGCAGGACTGCTTGGCCCTTGTAACTATCATTTTGTAACTTTTCAGCTTCCACTTACCTGGGGTTACTTAAGAGTTAAAAGAGTATAAGTAAACTTAGAAAACCTTGAGAACTGCTTTAAAACAATTATTTTTGGGTGGGGCATGGTGGCTCATGCCTGTAATCCCAGCATTTGGGGAGGCAGTTGCGGGTGGATCGGATCACTTGAGATCAGAAGTTCGAGACCAGACTGGCCAACATGGGGAAACCCCATCTCTACTAAACATACAAAAATTATCTGGGTGCGGTGGTGCACACCTGTAGTCTCCAGCTACTTGGGAGGCTGAGGCACG
This sequence comes from Homo sapiens, assembly GCF_000001405.40. Taxonomy (NCBI): domain Eukaryota; kingdom Metazoa; phylum Chordata; class Mammalia; order Primates; family Hominidae; genus Homo; species Homo sapiens. Next base: position 4,406,808 of record NT_167246.2, on the reverse strand, counting down.
AGAACTGCTTGAACCTGGGAGGCAGAGGTTGCAATGAGCCAAGATTGTGCCACTGTACTCAAGCCTGGGCTACAGAGCAAGACTCTGTCTTTAAAAACATTATTTTTGAGAGAGAGGAGAAAATCGGTAGATGAAACTGCAAAATGTCTCTTTTTTTTTTTTTTTTTTTGCAGGAACTCTGGGTGAGAAACAAAACCATGCAGGAAGACAAGGTAATAACTGTCTTTCTTGGAAGAACTGTCATTGTCTCTACAACCTGCCTTCATAGAGAAGCCAGTTCCAACACATCTTCTGCAGGGGCAGAAGAGGGGAAAGTATTCATCAATTAACCAGTGTTACCTTCTCATAGTCTCAGCAATTAGAATAGCAACTGACTCCATGAGGTCTGACAGTGGCAGCTAATAGAAGAACTGCTCTTTTTTTGTTTGTCAAACACCAGCAAAAATGCTTATCGCTGGAGAATAAATCCCTTTTCTCCTTCAATCTCAAATCAAACATTAGCTTGTCTGACAAAATGAGCAATGTCCTCATTTGGCAAAGAGATGAAAGAAATATTTTATTATGTAGAAATATTCACGTACTGTACAAGGACACAAAAATACTTGAAGTTTGGGGTTGGTTGGAAAGCTTGGCAAGGATGATGAGTTCCTCTTACTCACATGAGAGGTTATTCTTATTTTGACCTCCTTAGTTGAGGTGAGGCCTCACTGCAAGTGACAGGTCTGATGATAACCCAGGAAGGGAGGTCTTCACTGGTGTGGTGGGGATAGGGCAGGGCATGAAGGGAGAGGTGAGTGATGGGCCCTGAAACAACACAGTATAGCTGAAAGACATGGACTAGTGACAGAGTCGTGTGAGAGTCCAGGCTGATGAGGGGCACTGAGAGAAGGGACAGAGGAAGGCTCAACAGACCTCAATGGCTGAACAGGGAGTTGGGGGAGAATAAGGGGAAGAAACTAGGCAGCTATAGAACTGTTACTAAATGTCTGTTTCCTCATGTATAAAATGGTGATGAGTACCTACCTCTTAGGATTATTATGAAGACTAAATTGCAAAAGTGCTCATAAGTGTCTGGTACATAGTAAACTCTATATAAGTGCTTGTTCCTTATAGCAGGGGTCCCCCAACCTCTGGGCCACTGAACACTACCAGTCCGTGGCCTGGTAGGAACTGGGGTGCACAGCAGGAGGTGAGCAGCGAGCAAGCTCTGCCTCTTGTCAGATCAGCAGCGGCATTAGATTCTCACAGGACTGCAAACCCTATTGTGAACTGAGCATGCGAGGGAAGGTTGCAAACTCCTTTTGAGAATCTAATGCCTGGTGATCTGAAGTAGAACAGTTTGATCTGGAAACCATTCTCCCCGCCTCCATCCATAGAAAAGTTGTCTTCCACAAAACCAGTCCTTGGTGCCAAAAAAGCTGGGGACTGCTGACTTAGAGAACTCACTGCGAGGGACATGTTTGGGGAAAAAGGTAGAATCTTTTCTAAAAATGTGTGCACGAGCTTATGGGACCTTGCCATTAGGCATTGCATTAGGCACTTGGAACTTTGACTCAAGGTTTGATATGGGGGCAGTTTCCCCCATGCTGTTCTCGTGATAGTGAGTTCTCACGAGATCTTATGGTTTTATAAGGGGCTTCCCCACTTCACTTTGGCACTCATTCTCCTGCCACCCTGTGAAGAGGTGTCTTCCGCCATGATTGTAAGTTTCCTGAGGCCTCCCCAGCCATGCAGAACTGTGAGTCAATTAAACCTCTTTCCTTTATAAATCACCTAGTCTCAGGTATTTCCTCATAGCCATGTGAGAATGGACTAATACAAGGTCTAAACAGAGACACAGATTTTATGGGTGGGAGGTGCCTCCAGAGGAATGGGTAAACTTGCTTAAAAATACTGTGCAAATAAAAAGAGGACAAAGAAAGGTGTCATAAGGGACAATATATTATGGGAGGCAGAGGCAGAGACTTTAAAGAAGCAGACTAAGAAATGGCTGTCTGAAAAGTATGAGAGCTAGGAACAAGTGGTGTCAAGTCAAAGAAGTCAGGAGATGCAGGGTGCGGTGGCTCATGCCTGTAATCCCAGCTACTCAGGAGGCTGAGGCAAGAGCATTACTTGAGCCCAGAAGGTCGAAGCTACAGTGAGCTATGATCACACCACTGCACTCCAGCCTGGGTGACAGAAATCCTCTTTCTTAAAAATAAATAAATAAATCAATATAAAATAAAATGCTAGGGAAGCCCCATGGGATGCTTCAGAGGTAAAGGGAGATAAGGACTAAAAAGGCCTAATCTCCTTCTTTTGTGACCCTCTGGGTCATAAAAATGAAGGCTCACATTTTAAGAGTTGAAGTTTAGGAAAGTAAGAAGGGAAGAACCACCTAACCTCGGGGGCAGGACACAAAAATGACAATAGATTCAGGAGGCAATCGTGGGTAACACGCCCAACAGGTGGCGCCAAATACCTTCAGTGGCAGTCTACAAGAGCCTCAGAACCCCTGCCCCTTTGGCAAGCCATGCTGGAGGGAGCTCCATTCAAATCTGCCAGTCAGCCAGGTGGCACTCCTTTAGTCAACAAAATATCAAGCTTCCACTATTGGAAAGCTCTGTGCTAGGGACTCTGAGAGCTGTATGTCTGCAAGTGCACGTGTGCTCTGCTGTTCCTTTAATGTGTGGAGACAAGAACCTTTTGAGAATAAGTCCCATCTATTTTAACTCCTACATAGCTCTCAAATCTATCTACATTTCTTCATCTACATTGCTGCCTTTCTCTTCTACACCACTATTCTCACTGGCTGGGATTAACTGCTGCAATTGCTTTCTAAACTATCCACTCTCAACACCCCACCAACCCTAACATGATTGTCCCTAGTGCAATTTCCTTAAAGCATGTCTATCTCCTAGCTCCCTACTGGCCCACAGCACTGGAAGTCTAGTGCAGTAGTTATAAATGTGGACCCTGAAGCCAGATCGCCTGGTTTCAAAACCCACCTCCAGTGCTCACTGACAATGTGGTGATGTTGGGCAAATTGACTAATCTCTCTGTGCCTCATTTCTTTATCTGTTAAATGCAGACAAGATGTACCTCACAGGATTATAGTGAGGACCAAATGAGTTTACAGGGTAAGTTTTTATTTAGCACAGTGCATGGGACACAGTAAGTGCTCAATAAATGTTAGCTATTAGTCTTTGAGATGTAAATTCAAAGCATCTCAAAGCACTCACCTTCATCCTTGCTGCTTCAGCATCACCTAGTTACCTTCTCAGTTGCTGTTTCTTCTGCTGGCAATGTTCACTACTCCCTGCTCCCACCCATCCACCCCTTACAAACAGGAAGGAACTCATCGTTCTGAGATATCTGAATAGCTCTCAGCTTAGACCAGAGAACCCTCTTTTCTAAATTCTTGCTAGACCTCTGCACATTGTCCTGTTAGAATTACTTATTTTTGTTAAAAATCGTGTGACTAGTTGTCTAATGCTGCCCCTTTCCCCGATCCTAGAATATAAATTGAGAGCAAGAAGCTGTCGTCTCATTCAGTGCTGGAGACCAGCTAGTGGGATTTTGTGAGTATCTTTAGGGTGATGACCCAGGAAAAAATGAAATCATGGTGACAACACATTAGTTCCATGCTACCATTCCCACATCTCCTTCCCAGCTCTCCATTACAGCCACTCTCTAATTGCTCAGGAAAATCTTCCTCCAGTCTTGCACTAAGCCCCAGAGTAACACCAGTCACCTCTGGTCCTTGTCCTGGGAGTCCTTCATGCTGGTCACTCATGGAAGCAGGGCCTTCCAATCAAGGTAGTCCCGAGTGAACCTAAGAGCAGGACTTTGGGGAAGGTTACAGGCAGGCTGGAACTGGGGTCCACATATGGGTGCACAATAAGGATGGTCTGTGAAGACCAAGTCATGCCTATATCTTGGATTCAATCAGTATAATTACCACACCATGATGGTTAATAATTGCACCCTATTCGTGCTAAGCAAACTCCATGATAAGACCTTGTCTTATCTTCACCTTATACCCTCTGGCTTGGCAACGTCCAGGTCTACAGGCCTAACAGTTTGCTGAAAAGGCAATCAAGGGAACTCAATAAATGTGTGACTGAGTAAATAAGACCGACTCTCACCTTCCCCCACAACCCAACAAAAGGCTTCCTATGGACGCAATAAAAGGCAGTAAATGGCAGCATGAGGGGAGAGGGAAAAAGCAGCAGCAATAGAACCCATGATTCCAAGAGCTGAGAGGAGCATAGGGGGAAATAATGCCCACAGGACTCCACTAGTCCTTTGAGTTGTGCTGGAGACTGCTATTTTGGAATAAAGTCCTTTGGCAACCAAGATGGAACTCAACCAAACTCCTGAAACAATTACAATCCCTAAGTGAGACAGGCTTGAAATAAGTTCAAACTAAAGTCAATTAAGAGACTAGTCCAATTGGTTTAAGGCAGGTCTGAAGCCCCTGTGTCAGCCAGCCCTTCTCTCTCTTAAAGCATTTAGGGCGGTCTGGGTTCCATTTACAGGGAATTAAGTACTCAGGGGCCTCCAATGTCAGGTTGAAACTTTTATTTTTCCGAACTACAGAAAACAAACCTTAAAAGTACATGAGCAGAAGGGGCTGCAGTCAAAATATTCTATATTTTGTCCCAAAACTAATCCAACTAAATCCTTCAATTCCCTCTGAAATGAGATGTAATCCTTGACATAGACATGCACTTAGCTTAAATCTATTTACTCCGATTTTCAGAACTTTAATTTGTATCTCATCACCTATTGCCCAACGCGTCTCTATTAAGTACTTACGAATCCTCAACATCTGTTATTCTCAAAAGGGAACCAGAGCTCAAAGGGAGCTCAAGAGCTTTCACTGGTGCACACAAGTTAGCAAGAAAGCCCAAACAAGGGTTTGTTTCCCTCTAAGTGCTTGGCAAACAGTAGCAGGTGGTTCACAAACCTAATTTTTTATTACCATCTCCCGAGCTTTTGAAAATTGTTGCTCAAGCCCCAGTTTAGCCGGAATTCCTAAAGAGGGCTGAGCATCACTAGTAAAATTTATTGCTTCCTACATTTAGTTTGTGGTGTTGCCCTACACTTAGTTTGTGGTGTCATTTACAGCAAAATAAACCATTTGCTTTACTACATTCCTGATTCTAATTTCCATGTCTCTATCCAGGTTTCCTACTATGGTACACTATACTAAGCAAATGTCTCACTTTTCCAGTATTAAAGCCCCAAATTCCAGAATGCAAACATCCCAACCCCCTAAACTTTTTATACAACCCTTCTCTCCCCTTAGCAAGACAAGGGGGTATGCAGAAAGCACAGTTTTGTGATTTAATCGTTGGAATACTCTTTAGTATTCTACTAATAAACTATCTGTAAATTTGTGTGTGACCATGGCAGCAAAATTTAACAATGTTTAACAATGTAGTAGGCCCAATTACTTTTTTTTTTGAGACGGAGTGTCTACCACCCAGGCTGGAGTGCAGTGGCGCGATCTCGGCTCACTGAACCCCGCCTCCCGAGTTCACGCCATTCTGCTGCCTCAGCCTCCCGAGTAGCTGGGACTACAGGTACCCGCCACCTCGCCCAGCTAATTTTTTTTTAGTAGACAGGGTTTCACCATGGTCTCGATCTCCTGACCTCGTGATCTGCCCGCCTCGGCCTCCCAAAGTGCTGGGATTACAGGCCAATTTCCTTTTAAAAGGCAATAAACTCAATGCATAAAGTACTTATGTTCGGCTACCTCCCACCCTTTTCTCATATTTTAAGTCTGCTCAGGAGAAAATTCACACATCCAGTGCCACAGGGAAAAACCTAAAGCCTACCTCAAAATTTTGAGTTCTTGGTTAAAGCATGAATGAGCCACAGTACTATTTTTCATTTAAACAAGAGCAAATTGTAGACCTAAAGATTACTTCTAAGGACTCAATTTACAAAAGTCATATTTACTTTATTAAAAACACAGCAAAAGCCTACTGGTTTAAAAATTAAGACAATCCAATTATAGGTTAGCTATTGCCTTTTCTCACTGCAGTAATATTTCCCTCAAAATTATCAAGACAATTCTTATGATGTTCCTTTTGAAACACTACAAAAGCAAATATTAAGGTAACTCAAAACTTGAATAATATTTTCTTTATTTACAAGTTAGAATCAACAAAGACAGTCCAGGGGACCAAATGGGGAGATGACTGAAACCCCCAGGGCCCCAAATGGAGCGGAAGGAAAAAGGGAAAACAGAGTAGAAAAAAAAAAATCAACGTAAAAAAAGAGCTCCCCCTTCTTCCCTCCCCATGGAGGCTGAGGGGACCACGGCCCCACCCTCCCCCCAGCCTTACCTAGCTTAAAATAAATTAGAACAAACAATCTCAAAACAGGGCCCTTAGAAGTGAATAGGGCAGCTATGGCCTCAGGTAACTCCAGATCAGGGCTTTGCACACTCCCACCCTTGCCCTGCCCCATTTTGAATGGGGGCTCTGTGTCCAAGAGATCACTCCCCAATGGGGCTGGGAATTCAATGTTGTTTTGTCCATGTCCCTCCTTCAGTAAATGTCCCTGCATCCCTCCCCCACTGCAGAGCCAGCTCTCCTAGAGGGGGGCAGGGGGGGGTGAGATGAAGAAGTGTCACAGCAAAGGGGGAAGGGGCAGGTGGGGCAGGGTGGTCTAGGGGTCCGGTCCTGCGGAGCCTTCCTGCCCCATCTGGCCTGACCCCTTAGCCTGAGTCTGAATCACTGGTGTCTGAAGACGACGACGAGGAAGAGGAGGAGCTGGAATCTGAGCTGGAGCTGGAAGCGCTAAGGCGTGACACTGCTACTTGCTGTGCAGAGGATGACTCTGTTTTCTCATTCGCTGCAGAACAAATTCGAAAGTTAAAGACGTTCAAGTCTGAATCTTCATTTGTCAATAAAAGACAGTCAAGAAGGCAGGATGGAGTCAATCTGTAGTGGCATGAAAGTATATACTCACCTTTCTTGGGGGGCTTTTTAGTAGAATTGAGCTGTCCGCTGACATCTTGTAACCGCTTTTCTAATTCCCGCTTTTTCTCCAAAGCCAGTTCCTCCTTTGTCTTTCCCACAGGCTTCTTAATGGCTAATGAAAGAAATTTATCAGGATACATTAAGATTGCCCCAAGCATCTTATTATGGGCCCCTAAGGTTCCCAAGTTCCCTTCTTGAACGTCAGCTGCCAACCAACACATCCCATTATCCTGGGAGCTGACAATCCTGAATGCAAACAGACCCCACCATCTTTCCTCAACTGTCCTCAGAACCATGAGATGAACCTCATTTCATACGTACTGTAGGGCTTCCGGGGTTTCTTACGTAGGCAGGAAAGGACATAGCGCTCAAGCTCTCTAAGTGTGGATGGCTTGAGTGTTTCAAAATCAATCTCAATCTCTTCTGGGTTTGAATCACGTAAAGAGGGCTCCCTGGCTTGGATTATATGCACAACTCGGCCCAGCTTCTCCCCAGGTAATTTGTTGATGTCCAGGCTCAGCTGCCGCTTCTCATCGTAACTCATGGGCCTGCTCTCTTCCTCCTCCTCTGAATCATAACCTGTAGGCAGGGCAGGTGGGGCTGTCTTTGTGGCCTTTTTGGGGAGCCTAAGGGCAAAAAGAGTTGTCAGCAAAAGAAGCTTCATTAACCTCTTCCAGTATGTTCCCACTGTTATAATTCAGTGATCCTATTTCCTGCCCAGAGTGGAGCTTCTGTTTTTCCATTCAATGGCCAAGTAAGAGGTGGGCTACTGGGACACTGTATAGTGAAACAGAGCATTTTGCTCTTGACTGTAAGTAGGCAATAACATGTCTTTAAAAAGACAATGTACGTACATACCTTAATGAAAAAATATTACTAAAAATGTGACACACAAACATGTTGGAAAAACTGTTGAAAGACTTGCTCCACACAGGGTTGTCACAAATCTTCAACTAAAAAAAAAAGTAGTATCTAAAAAAAACTCCGTAAAGTGAAGCACAATAAAACAAGGTATACCTGTTTAGGTATACTGACATGGGTCTTTCTGCTCCCTTAAACACTACCAAACTACACCATGGGCCAGCTGCAGTGGCTCAGATTTGTAATCCCAGCACTTTGGGAGGCCAAGGCGGGCAGATCACTTGAGGTCAGGAGTTCAAGACCAGCCTGCCCAACATGGCGAAACCCCGTCTCCACTAAAACTACATAAACTAGCTGCGCACTAAAAATACAAAAATTAGCTGGGCGTGGTGGCGCATGCCTGTAATTCTGGCTACTTGGGAGGCTGAGGCAGGAGAATCGCTTGAACCCGAGAAGTGGAGGTTGCAGTAAGCCGAGATCACGCCACTGCACTCCAGCCTGGAGTCTTTAAAAAAAAAAAAAAAAAAAAAAAAACAAACAAAAAAAAACACAAAACCACACCAAAAAACCAAAAACTACTACGCCATGAAAAACAAGTCTAGACTCATTGATTTAGAGCAACAGGCAAACTATATGGCCCAGAGAACAAATCTGATCGCCACGTGTCTTTGCAAATAAAGTCTTTTTGGAACACAGCCATCTTCATGTTTCTAGTTTATGGCTACTTTGAGTTCACTGTCAGAGTAGCTGTGAAACACCCTGACTCCCAAAGCCAGGGGTCCCAACCCCCAGACCAGTACCAGTCCGTGGCCTGTTACTGGGCTACGCAGGAGGTGAACAGCCGGCATGTGGGCATCACTGCCTGTCACATCAGCAGAAGCATTAGATTCTCATAGAAGCATGAACCCTACTGTGAAGTGCGCATGGTACATATCCAGGCTGCATGCTCCTTATGGGAATCCAATGGCCCAATGATCTGAGGTGGAACAGTTTCATCCCAAAAACCATCCCCTCAAACCCTGTCTGTGGTAAAATCTGTGTTCCACGAAACTGGTCCCTGGTGCCAAAAAGGTTGGGGACCACTGCTCAAAGCCTATTGTATCTGTTAACTGGCCATTTAGAATTATCTTTGCAAAGAGAGATGGCATCCCCCAGAGAGACAGAAATAGCCAAACTAGTCTCTGCTTCCTACTCTAACTCACTTGGTGCCACTTCCTCCAGAAGGTCCAAAGCCGGAAGGGCCTAAAGCAGCACTGCCACCCCCACTGCCACTTGCTTTCTTGGACTTCTTAGGTTGAGGTGGGCGGGGTGCCCTAGGCCCCTTGTCATCTTCATCGGCCCCAGCTCGGCCTCGATGCTTCTCTGCCTTCCGTTTCTTCTTTTTCTCTTTTTTCTCTCTTTTCCTCTTGGGCTTGGATATTGGACCCTGGGACAGAGCAGCCAGTTGTTCATGTACTGCCCGAAGCTAAAGGAAAAAAAACATGAAGTGGAAAAAGTAAATAAAGATAAAATAACAAGAAGAAAAAATGAGGACAAAGGGCATGAACCTCTTACCCAATAAAAACTTTCAAGAGTGACAAAATACCTGTTCCTGTAGTTCTGCTAAGCGATGAGCCCTTTCTTCCTCTGAGTCTGAGCTTTCACTCTCTTCTTCCTCCTCGTCCTCCTCATCTTCCTCCTCCTCTTCCTCAGAGGAGCTCTCACTGCTACTTTCCTCACTGGAGGACTCTGAAGACGATTTGGCCAAGCCAGGGGGCATGGCAGTAGAGACTGGTAAAGGCCCTGGTTCTAGTGGTTCATCTGGCATCTTGGCATAACGGAACTCAAATACATCCTAGAAAGAGGCACAAACTCAAAACTATGCTGATAAACAGTGCCCTACATACCCAGCCACCAAGTGATATAGCTCCAATTTACAACTGTACAGAACAGTGAGACCCTCACGTTGAGGCTATGCAGCACACATGACAAAATAACTCCCCATACCATTTATTTTTCAAACTCCAACCTTTCCACTCACCTGTAGCTTTCGTGCCATTGCCACAACATCGTGATCTGGGGGATTGTACTTATAGCAGTTGGAGAACATAAGCCGTACATCAGCAGCAAACTCCTGTGCATCCCGGTAATCACGGTTCTCCATCTTCCGCTGCAGAAGGAGGCAGCATCAGAAGCTGCACAGGCAGGAAGACTCACCTTTCCCTGCCAACCCCAGACACCACAAGAAGAGCCCTCTCTTGAGAGCACAGTGGGGATGACCTTAAGGATCTGTGCCCTGGGGTTCAAGTTTGAAGTCAAAGGAATTTGGGTGGGTTGAAGAAATATTTATGTCTAGAAAAAGAAATCATTTCTAAGTGACAGAGAGGTGGCCTATGCCTGTCTTTCCACCCTATAACTTCCTTAACCCAACACTGCCACATTAGTACTTAATTATAGACAGTATTTTTCTCAAGACAAAGAAACCCCACCCTACTGTTTCAAACTCCAAGAAATACAAATTCTCAAAACACCAGACCTTCTGTTCCACTATTATTTTATAAAAGTAAAATGCCAAGAACCAAAGACTGCTGTGTGCCCACATAAGGAGACTTATTGTTTTGCACCTAGGCTCCCATCACTGCTTGAGCATCCCATCTGCCCCATGCAGTGGGTACCTTGACAGTGCTGAGGTCCATGGGGTGCTTAATGATGTCATGGTAGTCATGCAGGCCAAGTGCAGAAGCATCCACTGGTTTATAGAAAGGCCAAGCATAGGCAGCATGCTTCTTAGAGAGTAACTCCTTCAAAATGCCATTGCAATGTTTTAACTGTTCTGAAAGCTTTCCTTTCTTAGAGCTCTGGTGTTGTTGCTGAGAGTCAGGCAAGTCTTTGCGTGGGGGCTTGATGGGGCGACCACTCTCTCTACGCATAGGGGGAAGCCGTGCTGCCTTAGGCTCAAGACTCCCAGGAGGGCTAGCTGGAGAACCAGGAGCCAAGATGGCTGTAGGTGTAGGGGTGGTAGTATCTGCTTTCCGCTTTACGCCTTTTTTCTGCAGAAAGAAACAAGATAGGGAACCTGTCACTCCAAGCCCACTTTACTTAAGACCCTTGCCTCCCTGCTGCCCAGAGGAAATCCACAGATCATACCTTGGCAAGGGGCTGGGCTGGAGGAGCTGCAGTAACAGCAAGGAGCGGGGGTCCAGCAGAGTGCAAGGACTTGAGAAGTGGAGAGGAAATGACTGATGGGTGGGGAATGTTGAAGACAGTGGTAGGTATCTCAGGTGGAGGAGTATACAGGGCTGTGTGTGACACAGAAGAGACGGCAGGCACCTGATGGGCACTGGTAACACTGCCCTGGAGCGCTAGAAAAAAGGAAAAAAGTGTAGTTTGATTCTCTTCCCCATCTTTAAGTTGTCCATTTGCAAAACTCCCACTCTTCCTACCTGCCAACTTGGCCCCCTTCTTGTGGCTGTTCTTAGGGATGGTCACTACCAGCTCTTGTTCTTCTTGTGGCATTGATGCAACCTTCTGTAGGAATATCTTTTCCAGCGTTTGTGCCATTAGGACAATATCATCAGTGGGCTATGAGAACACAGACAGCAATAAAGAAAGTTAAAAAATGCCAACAGAAGATAGATACACACCATCTTTCTCAGAGGCATTCAGGCCCTAGGCCATTACCATACCCCCACCAGTCATCTTGTCATCAAATCTTAAAGAAAATTTCTACTCCAGGCCACTACTAATTTCCACTTTCTCCTAACTGTCTCCCAAAATTCGAAAGAAGAAAAAACTTGAGAGCTGACAAGAAAACAGATCCCTGGTCTACTCAGGTCTCTGGTGATTTCTAAGAAACAGGACCACCACCCCCAAGTATGAAGTGTTCTAAATAACCTTCAACTAGAGCTCTGAAGTCACATCACTGTGTTCAATAGTACCATCTAGAGTCAGGTTTTTAAGACTCCGACTACCCTACCTGGATAACACCTTCAGTAGCAAAGGATTTAAACTTTATGTAGACAACATATCCAGCAATAATAGAAATTACTGTTTCTCCCCACCTACTAAATGAACACACAGAAAAACTCACCTTGTTGTAAATGTAACAGTTGGTGAACATGGTATTAAAATCTTGCATACACTCTGAAGCAGCCCAATAATAATTGTTTTCAAGTCTCCTCTTAATAGTACCCATGTCCATAGGCTGTTTTATAATTTTGTGATAATCCTAAATAAAGAAATGTTAGGTCAGAACCACAGAAAAATAAATGCTTATAGGGAGACTACCGATCCCCGACTCTCACACACACACACACACACACACACACCCCCTATGCATCAAAGGAACAGTTAAACTGCGGCCCCAATTAAACTGTGGGACAAAATAAATAAATAAATAAAAAAGATTCTTGACATCCACAGGGAGGCCCCTGCTGCCTTTCTCTAACCACCCACCTCCCACCCACTCTGGAAACTTCCCATCCTGTGACATTACCTCTGGGGCTGGCTATCCATGGGCTGCATGAGGGAAAGGAAGAAGCTAAGAATTTTGGCCACCGTGGTCCTCTCCCAACCCGAGGTGGGAATCTGTAAAATGGAGCCAGGGCACAAAAGTTAAGGAAGGACACATGGAGGGCACAAGGAAAGATGCCAAGATAGTTACAGCAAGCGGTCGGATCAATCACAAAGGACCAAGATACCCAGAAATCTGGTAGCTAACTGCCCTACAGGGGAGAAATGGGAACTCCCTAGGGGCCGCAGCATCTACACTAGGCAGACCACCCCCATTCACACGCATTCTTGCTCATCCCACACCTCCCCGGCTCCAATGTCTCTACTCACCGGTAGACCCAGTTTGACAGCATCCACAGGCTGCCGGAATGGCCATGCGAACTGATGTTTCCACAGAGCCTTCATCACTACCTTGTGTAGGTATTGCAGCTGGTTGGTAACTCGTCCTGGCTTTTTGGGATTGGACACCTCCGGGGGTGGTGGGTTGGCAGGGGTAAGTTGCAAAGCAGGCACCGAAGCCATTGTGGGGCTCTCAAAGCCCTCATACAAGAGAGAGGGTTTTCGAATCCTTTTCCCTGGTGCTGCTGCTTCTGGGCCCAGCCCCAGCAACCCTGCATTCCCTTCCCCAGGGAGCCTGTAAAGATGGGAACAAAATTAGGGCAATATCGTCCAAATGAGGAAAAAGTGCATCTGCACAATAGTCTGATGAATCCAGGTGCTGGCCCTAGTGAGGTGGTTAAGCTTATGCCAAGTGCTTCTTAAGCAGAAACAATATCCAAACAATCTGTGGAGCTTTTATTGCTGGCCCCGCCTTCCTTTTATTAATATTTTTAGTATACTATCTAGATCCCACCTTCTTAAGTCTGATAGGCTCTATCTGTTCTTTTTCATATTTTAAAAAACTCCCAAATTGTTTCTGACAAGGCACGACATCTCAGAACTACAGCCCTATGGGGATGGGGATTAAGCAAAATGGGTGGAGTTAAGAAACTCAAACCCCAAGCTTCCTCCTCACTAGGGGTTTGGTGGTTGCCATGGTGGTTGAGCGCCGGTAAGGAGGAAAAGAACAAATTATGGCTATAAAAAATTCCATAAAATGCTGATAAGACACAGAATAATCCACCTAGATAGAAGAGAGAGCACCATCTTCCACAAGGTCTGGGTAGTTCACGCCACAACAGAACATAGACTAGAAACCCAGAGGAAGAACCATATCAACTTAAAAACAAATTCAGACAAGGAAGAATTTGTCAGACTTCACAGCCCGTAACTTCCAGGCCCTCAAAATTATTCGCACCAAATCAGAGTCTCCTCACTCCAAGGAAGTCAAAAAGCCGTACAAAACAGTCAAGGTCACCAAGTGATAGCCCCCTTCCACCCACCCACTACACAACACGATTCCACTACCAGTTCCCCCTGTAGCACCAACTCCGGACACCAAACGCTAACAGTGGTTCATTTACAGTCCCTCTGGTGCTCCTCCGATCAGTCTTTCCTACCACCTAAGAATTAAAACATCATATGGGAATCTCATTGTTTACATCGCAGAGCTGAACTAGGAACCTTAGCTCTACCCTCCTGCCCTGAATCAAACTTTTAATGTTAGGAAAAAACAATCCCTGCACCAACAAACACCACACACAACCCACCCACCCAAAGAAAGCAAAAGATTTAATGACATGCCCTGGGCATTAGGAACCTGCACACACGGGAGAGTGATCCCTTTACCCTTCTCTGGGAATCCCCGTTGCCAGTCCCTTAAGCGCTCCGTCACCATGGCAACCCTACAGGGCGCTAGAGGTGTCCGTGAATCCCCCCTAAAAGGCTAACAGACCGCCGCTAGATACCAGACCCACCAAACGCCAAACCTGCTGTTCAACCTCACTCCACTCCACCGTCAAACTAGCTCTGCCTGACTCGGTTAAGACTGGGCCACGGCGGCATTAATAGCGTATAAATTGACAACCTGTATTCCCCTCCACGAGCAGTAGCCGAGCCGCCACCACCGTTCCAAAACCGTCGCTCAATTCCCTCCGCGCGACCGAGTCGACAGCTGCGCCGCAACAGCAGCGCGCCGGGGCCGCTCAGTACTCCCAACACGGCGCCCCACACCCCTGTGCCGCCGCCCTGCAACATCCCCTTCCCACACGCGGCTCGCGGAAACGTACTTATTGTGGGGAGTCACGTTTTGCAGCATCTTGACCGCAAGGAACCGGCGCTGCCCTCAGCCGCGGAAAGTCCGGGTGGCCTCGGTTCCCCTCACCGCCCGGTCCAGCATAACCCGCTAAGTTGGGGGGAGGCCGTTCCTCTTGGGCCTCCAGGCGACAAACCCCCTGCCTGGCCGGCACGAAAGCAGTCTCTTTGGGGCCTCTCGGAGAGCTCCGGGCAGCTTGGCGCGCTCTGCAGACGGCGGACAGCAAGAAAATGGCGGCGGCCTCAGCTGAGGCGGGCAACTAAGGAGGGACTGACTCTTCAAAAGACGGTCCCCGATCTCAGACACCGTCGTCAATATAGCCCGCTGTTGGTCTGCAGGGATTCCCTCTTCTTGTCGGGCCCCTACGGGGCCGACGAGGTCCCGTTTCGATCTCGGATGGAGGCGGATGAACACGAAAAGTGGTTTAGGGAGCCGCCGCCTCCATCTTTGAAATCCTCTTGAGGGCGGAGTAGAGGGGGTGGACAGACTCCGAGGATTGGGCGGGGCCCGAAAAAGGGGAGCTCCAGGGGCTTCTAGGGGGTCTGTACTGCCCGCTGGGACCAGTCATAGGCCGGGACGAAGGCCATTTCCAAGCGGATGGAGGTGGATTGTAATGGCGGCCCCGGACGACTCGAAGGCTCTGTATCGGTAGGCAGAATCCTCCAGCTCGTTCTAGAGGCTGCTCCACTCCAGCACGAAATGGCGCCGCCGAGCCCCGCGCCAGCCCTTTATATATAGGCGGGGAGGAGGAGCTTCGCCGCTCATGCGCGCCACCCTGCTTGAGATTTTCCCCACCCCCTCCGCGCGCGCGCGCTCGCTCACGCGGGTGAAGAAGCTGAGTCGAAGGGGAAGGAACACCTCTCCGCGGGAGCTTTTTCTATTGGCCAGCCGCAACGATGACGTCATAAACTTCATTTCCAAGGTGTCAGTCACCAGGCAGAAGAGTGCCGCAGAGACCCACAGGGAAGTGGCAACCCGCCACATCTCCAAGCCAATTGGCTGAGCTGTGGTCCGCCGACTCCAGGGAAAGAGGGTGGTTGGAAGAGGTGCGGAAGCCATCGCCCCAGAGCCTCCAGCACTCTCTCCCCGCCTCCCCTTCCAACAAAGTCTTCCCAAGCTTCCATGCACAGCCCAACTGGAGACTGCCAAGCTCGAGCAGGTCGTGCCATTCGTAGCTCCTCCATTGGCCAAAGCAGGGAAACGGGAGGGGTCGCGTGGGCGTAGCCTGCCTGAACCCGCCAGGGGTGTGGCCGCAAGACGCCTGGCGGGTGGTGGTTCTCGGCGGTAAGGCAGCAGCAGCGAAGAATCTGAAACGAGGAAAAAGACGCCATCTTAGAAGCCGCGGCCTGCTCCTCTATGGCGAACAGCTACGGGCTTCAGAACGGCGATGAGGGGATCTAACGTTCCCATGCCCCACAGTCTAAAACAGTGTTGCCAGAGTCTTATAATACTCCACTCCCTCCCTCAAGCCAAACGATGGAAAGACGAGCAAAACATTATTTACTACTGTTTAGTCCCAAAGACCACAAAAGCTAAAATACGTCTCCCAAATTTGCACGTCCAAGCACCTTTCTAATCCCTCCCCACTCACACCTACAGTTACCAATACATTTCTGCTCGTTCGAAAAATCCTCGGCAACCCTAAAAGTGGGATTAAAATCTCCAAACGCATCCATCTACCCTATACAATGCAACACACCTCACCTCTTCCTCAAACTCCATTCCGGCGTCCGGCTCAGAGCAGAAAAAGCAAGTCCTGGGAGGGATGACTTAAGGGAAAAACCCTCCCCCTCCAGGCGAGCTCGGACCTTTCCCCCCACACGCCACATCACCCCCAAAGGCACACCCGTATCCGCCTCTCAGGGGCCCTCCGCCACGGGGGCGAAAGAACCCCCCCGCCCCCCCACCAGGGTCCGGAGTCCTCCCCACGGAGCGGCTGGTCCATCGGTCAGCGCCAGGGAGGAGGGCGAGCGGAGGAGGCGGCGGCTGCGGCTCAGACTAGCCCTCCCCCTCCTCCCCTCCTCCCCTCCCCCCGGCCGTCCGCCTCCGAGGAGGGGCAGGAGCCATTTTGGGAGCTCAGTTTCGCCCCCTCCCCCCAACTTACTCTTAAGTCTTCCTCCTAACTTGGTTATCTAAATAAGGGTGCAGACTCTGTGAATCAACCAGAGCCCAGAGTCAGGATCTCCAGAGCATCTCTGGGGCCGTCCCCGCCCCCTTACAAGAGAGTGAAAGGATCTCCCCCACCCGAGAAAACCTGGGCTTTGGTGGGGCGTCCCCTCCCCCGTTTCCCCTTTCTTCGCTACCAGGGAGAAAACAAACTTGTGTACGTATCTGGGAAAAATAATCAACGTAGGTGAACAAATATACGGTAAGATTCCCCCTCGCCCGGGAAGGGCTCGTAAGGGCCTAGGTCCTTGAGCTGCAACCACGCCACCCTCCCTCCTCTGCAGTAGCCCTTCAACTCCAACCTCGGTTACTGCGTCTAAAATGGCCGCCAATCTCCTGTCTTCTGACCCCCCGAGTAGGGCAAACCCCGGGAGGGCGGGGGAAAATGAGCGTCAGGAGAGCAGAGTCCCCTTCCCCCAGCCAGGGATCAGGCCCTGGCCCCCAAAAGTACAAGCGGCCCCGTTTGGGTGGCTGCAGCATGGAGGGCAATGACACAGCAACTTTGCAGAGGCCTTTTCCCCTCCCCCTAGCGGCCCAACCTCCCAAATCTGCTTTTCTCCACCGGGGCTCTGCAGGCCAGGACAGAGGCCCATCAGGGGGCCGGCCATGGAGTAAAAACTTAGGAGGCTGAGAAAATACTAGGCCTTAGGAAAAGGGCAGCCAGACATTGCTCTCGTTTATTCCCTGCATTCCGGAAAATCACTGCCTCCCGATCCTCTATCCTCCCTTCCCCCACATGAGTCACCAGGGAGGCTACTGCTACTCAGTAATTTGGGAAAGTAACTCTTTCCTCCTTTCCGTTCCCTCCCCCGCAGTACACAAGGAGAGAACTGTTCAGGACTGGGGGAGGGGATGAGGGAGGCGATGGAAGAGGCCACCCTGGAGAAACCCGAAACCTTGGGAGCTGTGAAATCATTCCAGGTCCCGAGCCTCCCTCGCATCTCAGACCATGCTGTCTAGACCCCCTACTGCCAGCACCCACCTTGGGCCTGGTTTCTGTTCCTAAGCAGACCTCAAGCTTTCAGCTTGTAAGCACCCCAGCCTGGAGTAGACACGTGCTCAGTAAAGACCCTACAGGGGCAAAAGGCCCCACAGGCCGTGTCCACGTGAATGCACACAAATTCGGTAAGCGACTCGAAGCGTAACCTCCAGCCTGCGGTGTGACGACTGGAGCTCCCCTACCGCGGACACAAAGGGCGCACAGCAATGCTCCCTCCAGAGGCTCTGGGGAGAAAGGAAGTTGGCGCCTGGGAACAACCTCAGTTCACAACATGGGTGGCCAACTCCTAAAGCATTCACATCCACGGGTAGGGGCCACAGCCACCACTCCTCAGCCCACCGCCAGGTCACCCCTCCCTCGGCCGCCGATGGATCCCTTCTCACCTGGCTCCCGGCTGCTGTACCCCCAGGGGACGAATGGAATAGGGGGGGCCACACCGCCCCCTAACCCCTTTGCCCTCCAATGGGTACGGAGGCATGAGGCTGGCCATTCCCCTCCCCCCCCATGGCCCTCTCCCGCTCGCCCCCCCTCCACGCTCCCATTGGCTGTAAAAGGTTTGAAGGACAAATCTTCCCACTCTCAGGATTCTTTCCTGAACCCCAAGAATCCCCCTCCCGGACTCCCCACCATTGGTTAAGCACTTGACTGACATCTCCGCCCCACAAGGGCCCCTTCTCACCTGGATCCTAAAGCCTTCCAGGGGGCCTCCAAAGTTGCCCTCGGCTTGGTACGGGGTATGTAATCCGGGGTGTCAACCCCCCCCCAGAAAACGAAGCCGTGCTGGGGGAGGGGGCGTAGCCCCCAGCCCCTCCCTTCCCGAACGGGCTGGGGGGGTGGGGAGAGCATCGGGGCCGCGCGGCCACGTCAGCAGCACCCAGATTGGCTGACCGGGGTCACGTGCCCGCTTCCCCCCCACCCCCCGCCTTTCCCCCAGCCACGAGGACCAGCTTTCCGAACGTTCCTGGGGGTCGCGCCAAGGGGCCAAGGGGGCCGCATGGCCCAGGCCTATGTCCCGAAACCCAGAGCGCTATAACGCTGCTGCTTGTCCATATCCCCAGCTTCCTATCCCGCAGTCCTGGACTCTGTCCCCCCCACTCGCCTCTCCATACGAGTTCAGCATGGCTGCCGCAGACCAGGAACACACACAGCGCAGGCGCAAGGGTGCGCCCTGACTGGGGGAGGGGGAAGGAGGGCCAGAGGCTGCGGGGAGAGCCGTAGTGCGCAGGCGTCCGGACCGGAACCGCATCTCCGGCGGCGGGGCTTGGAGCGCGCGCATTTCGTGGGGCGGGAGCCCGCGCCCGGGTGCTGACCTCCTGCCTCAGCGCCCCCTCCCCCACTACCCGCGGCCTAGCGGGGTAGCCTCGGGTGGCCAGGCTTGTTTCCTCCTCGGTGGGTGTAAGGTGCGGCTTCGCTGGTCCTGGCCTGAATCCAGCGGAAGCGCACGCTGCTGAGCTGTCAGCGGAGGAAAATGGGGCCTGGACCTGGAGATATGAGGGTCTGGAGAGAGGGGCCCCTTCCCTGGTGTCGTGTGGTGCGACCACTGGAGAGGGAGTTTCTCGCCCTCGTCGCGCCTGCCGCGCGGAGAGATAAGGTGCGGACCGCAGATGTGGACTTCGTATTTGGCTTTAGTCTTAGGCAGCCTTAAAATCTCTCCGTGCCGTGAACCTACGCTAGACTTTTCTTTAGTGAGACCTGTGAGTCCCTGGACCGCTCTACCTTCTACGATATTTACCAGCTGATAACTTTTCCTTCTCTATTTATTTCGTAGTGGACCGTTTAAACCTCTTATACTCTTAAAGTTATGATCTCTCCTCTCCCAAGCTTGAGTGAATTCCCCCCAAAATTTTGGAACTGGTAACATAAAATGTTATGGTGATTCAGTTGCCAGCTAAAAAGTAAGCCTTTAATTTGTCATTAGCCGATAACCTCTCCCTTGATTACCCAGAGTATGGTCCAGATTTTCACGCTGCAGACCCTAATCTCTCCTCACCGACAGATGGCACTTCACAGAACAGAAAGGCCAATTTGCAGAACTGGCTTCCCATTTCCCACCTGCAAACTGGGTCAATTGTGTATTCCTTTCTCATTTCACTAGAGGTCCTCCCTTCGGTTTGAGGAAATCCTTTACTATTGACCTGGTCAACCTTCTCTGTTACCCGGAAGCTGTCTTCCCTTCTCCCCCTTTTGACCTTTTTAAACTTTTCTCTTGGTTTCCCCGCTGACAGAAAGATAACAACCCTCTCAATATCGTGCCCTCTTAGAGACTCATGTCTCTCGGCTTCCTTGCACAGCCAAGACCTGAAATTGAAATTATCCTTACTATCTCAATTCTTGGTCACATTCTCTTTCCCCATCCCCACTCTTCAAGCTACCTCTGTCAGGCTGCTACCACCAAAACTTTTCTGGCAGATGTCACCAAGAACCTCCTAACTGGCAAAGTCAGGAAGCACTTTACAGTTCTCACTTTATTTGACCTCTGAGGCATTCGACATTTGATCATGTTTCCTTCCTGACATTCTCTCTACCCTTGACTTCTATACCACTCTCACTTGTTTCTTTTCCTATTTGTGTAACTGTTCCTCTCCAGTCTCAGTAGATTTTTCTTCCTTAGCCCCTTTTTATGTGTTGATATTTGCTGTGATTCTTGTTTGCTTCTAATTTTGTTCAACTTCTCTAGGTAATCTGACTCCATGGCTCAAAGCCTCTGAAGTCTGAATCTTTAGTTCAGACAGCTCTCTAAGCTAAACTTTCTACTAAATATTCCCACTGGGATAACTCTCAGACACCAGTATGTTCAAAATTGATGAAATCACTATACACTCTAGACCTGCTCTTTCTCTTCTGTTGTCCTGAGTAATGGTGGCTGTTTAACCACAAAGTCTGTAATCTGGGAGCCTGTTCTTGATTTCCTTTTCTCACACCCTTACAGACTCATAATTTTGCCTCTTAACTATCCATCAACTCACCCTTCTGTCCTAATTCTATCACCTGAGCTATACCAACAGTCTCCTAAATTATTTGCTAGACACATGGCTATTTGGATTTAAATTAATACAATTTTAAATTTAGTGCCTCAATACACTAGCCACATTTTAAGTTCTCAATAGCCACATGTGACTAGTGGCTGTCATATGGGAAAGCACAGATTATTGAACATTTGTGTCATTGCAAGAAGTTGTTTTTTTCTTTCCCTGATACGGAGTCTTGCTCTGTGGCCTAGGATGGAGTGCAGTGGCGCAGTCTTGGCTTACTGCAACCTCTGCCTCCCGGGTTCAAGCAATTCTGCCTCAGCCTCCCGAGTAGCTGGGATTACAGGCGCCTGCCACCACACCCGGCTAGTGTCTGTATTTTTAGTAGACACGGGGTTTCACCATGTTGGCCAAATTAGTCTCGAATTCCTGACCTCGTGATCCGCCCGCCTCAGCCTCCCAAAGTGCTGGGATTACAGGCGTGAGCCACTGCGCGCGGCCTCATTACAAGAAGTTCTGTTGGACAGTGCTGCTTTAGACTTTCCTCTCTGCCTCTGCCACAATACTGCCAGGAGAGAGCTTTCCAAAATATAGCCCTGGCCATAGCTCTTTTTAAAACTCTGTGTTATTCCTTATTGGCTATGTGATAAAGTCCAAATTCCTATGTTTGCCAAAACAGTCTGCCTAGCTTTCCAGCCTCATGTCTAACCACTTCCTCTTGGGCCCTATATTCCAGCTGTATTGAACTGTTTCCCAGACACATCATTTTGTTTCATGCCTCTGTGTTTTACACATGTGCACTTTCTATATGGAGTAGACTTTTCCCCAATCTATGTACGCCCAAATAACATCTCTGAAAAGCTTAATGTTACTGTTCAAGTTGAGCTAACTGCTC
This sequence comes from Homo sapiens, assembly GCF_000001405.40. Classification (NCBI taxonomy): domain Eukaryota; kingdom Metazoa; phylum Chordata; class Mammalia; order Primates; family Hominidae; genus Homo; species Homo sapiens. The sequence continues at coordinate 4,385,255 of NT_167246.2, read as the reverse complement.
ATTCTTTGGTGTCCCTTCCCCTTATGATTTTACTTTCCACAGTGAATGGCATTTATGTGATTACATGTTTCTCTCTAGTACTAGACCTTGATTTTGAGAGCAGGGCCATTATGCATTCTTTTTCTTGCTTTGCTTTTTTTTTTTTTTTAATATCCCTAGGTCCTAGCACAGTATCTGGCCAATATTAGGTTCTCACAAATTGAGCAAATATGGAGGTGAATTGATGTGTAAGTAAGTATGTGACTTAGGTAAGATTGAAATGTGTATGTTTTATGGGGTGCCATGTATAGGGGAATAATCATAGACAAAATTATTGCCTTCAAACCTGAGACATTAGAATTATGTGAGGAAAGACAGACATAGAACAGCACAGGTTATTGTCACAGAGAGTAGTCTAGTCCAGTCTGGCCAGAACATAAGCTACAAGAAGTAGAGCAGGAGAAGAGAAAATGGGAGGTAAATTTATATTAGAGAACACATTATAGAAGGTTTCCAGTGCTGTTAAGTTTGGAATCAGTGGGGAACCACTGAAATTTTTTGACTAATGACTTGATCAGAATTATGTTGTTAGATAGAAACTCTGTCTTCCAGTGGCTGGCACCGTCCATGTTAATAAACATCAAATTAAAATGTCGGGGTTGGAAGGAGATGTGATTGGTGATACAAAACATTTATTGAGTAGTTAAAATGTGTCAGGTACTGCAATGAGTACATGTAGTAACTCTTTTAATCCTTATAACCCTATAAAGTCAATACTAATATTATCACCCTCAGTTTTCAAATGAAACAACAGAAGCAAAGGACGTCTTAGTCTGTTTTCTGATGCTATCACAGAATACCACAGACTGGGTAATTTATAAACAGTAGTTTATTTGGCTCAGTTCCAGTTGCTTGGAAGTCCAAGAGCATGGCATTGGCATCTGGTGAGAGCCTTGTGCTGCATCATCCCACGGCAGAAAGGCAAACAAGCACATGAGATGGAGAGAGAATAGAGGCCAGAATGTACCCTTTGTTTGTTTGTTTGTTTGTTTGTTTTGAGGCGGAGTCTCGCTCTGTCGCCCAGACTGGAGTGCAGTAGTGCAATCTTGACTCACTGCAAGCTCCTCCTCCCGGGTTCACACCATTCTCCTGCCTCAGCCTCCCAAGTAGCTAGGACTACAGGTGCCCGCCACCAAGCCTGGCTAATTTTTTGTATTTTTAGTAGGGACGGGGTTTCACCGTGTTAGCCAGGATGGTCTCCATCTCCTGACCTCATGATCCACCTGCCTCGGCCTCCCAAAGTGCTGGGATTACAGGTGTGAGCCACTGTGCCCGGCCTCAGAATGTCCCCTTTTAAATGGGAACCCATACCTACATTAGTAGCATTAATCCATTCATGAGAGCAGAGCCCTCATGACCTAATTAACTCTTAAAGGTCCCACTTCTTAAAACTGTCAAAATGGCAATTATTTTCAACAAGAGTTTTGGAGGAGAGATTCAAACCATAGCAGGTAATATTTACCTAATGTCACACCTTTAGTAAGTAGCAGAACTGGGATTTGAACCCAGCTGACTCTGGGTGGCATATTATTCTGTTTACTAGGCACAGCAGGGAGTTTAAGATCCAAGATTGAAGTTAGAGAAAAAAGATTAGGAAAAGCAGATTTGAGAGTCACCTTTGAGGTGATGTTTGAATCAGCCACGAAGGTAGCTGAGGTTTGTAAAAGAGGGGGTATAAAAACAATTTAGGGTGAAGGATTGAGCTTTGGGTTACATCTTCATACAGGAAGCAAGAATAGGAAGTGGAACCAATGGAAGATCTCAAGGAGAAGCAGAGCAACATAATGTGAGGAAGCTAGAACAGGAGATGGTTCCAGGAAGGATGTCATGTTCATTGAATGACTGATTAAATCAGGACTCCTTAAGCTTTTTATGTGCCATTAGCTTTTTTGGCAGTTTGGTGAAGCCTTTGGATCTTGTCTGATAATATTTGTAAATGCATAAAATAAAATATAAACTATAGTTATCAAAATACAGTGGTCCCCCCTTAACTGCAGTTTCAATTTCTGTGATTTCAGTTACCCAAGGTCAACCTGGTCTGAAAATAAGTACAATAAGATACTTTGTGTATGAGACAGAAGGACCATATTCACATAACTTTTATTACAATATAATTGTCCTATTTTGTTGTTAATCTCTTCCTGTGCAAATTTATAAATTAAACTTTATCATAGGTATATCTATGGATAGGAATAAACTGTATAATCACATTTGGTGCTGTGTGGGGGACACTACTATATTCAAAGAAACGTGTGATGATCTAGTAGTATGTGTTTCTGTATTAATACAATACAGTGTTTCTTTACTAATACATTAAAAAGCATGATTTTTTGGCAAGTTTAACAGCTCCCATAATTGTAAGTGATATTTTAAGATGTCTGTAACAACTATAATGTGATATGAAAATATTAATTGATGGTGTTTTCTATTGATGACAGTGTTACAGCTGCTGGCTGGTACTACAAAGATTTATTTTCTACATTCATAAAATTAGATTTCAGTGAGAGTTTTTTGAAAATAAAGTTGACTTTTTTTTATTCCATCCAAGTTTATGGACTTCTGAATTGTTTTTTTTTATTTTTTATTGATACATAATAATTGTACATATTTATGGGGTACATATGATATTTTGATACATGCATACGATGTGTAATGATCAAATCAGGATAATTAGGATATCCATCACCTCAAACATTTATTATTTCCTTCTGTTGGGAGCACTTCAAATCTACTAGCTATTTTGGAATATACAGTAAATTAATGTTAACTGTAGTCACCCAGCTGTGCTATCAAACACTATAGAATTTATTCCTTCAATTTAACTATATTTTTGTAACCATTAATGAATCTCTCTTCATCCCCCCTCCACCCCCTCCCTTTCCCAGTCTCTGGTAACCATCATTCTACCCTCTACCTCCATAAGATCAACTTTTTTAGCTCCCACTTATGAGAACGTGATATTTTTTTTTCTGTGTCTGACTTATTTCATTAACATAATGACTTCCAGTTCCATCCATGTTGCTGGAAATGACAGGATTTCATTCTTTTTTATGGCTGACTAGTATCCATTGTATATATATACACCACATTTTCTTTATCCAGTCACTTGATAGACACTTAGATTGATTCCATGTCTTGGCTACTGTGGGTAGTGCTGAAATAAACATGGGCATGTACACATCTCTTTGATACACTGATTTCCTTTCTTTTGGATATATACCCAGCAGTGGGATTGCTGAATCATCTAGTAGATCTATTTTTAGTTGTTTGAGGAACCTTTATGCTGTTTTCCATAGTGGCTATGTTAATTTACATTTCTACCATCAGTATATGAGCATTCCCCTTTCTTTGCATCCTCACCAGTATCTCTTATCTGTGTCTTTTTGATAATAGCCATTTTAATTAGATTCAGATGATATCTCATTGTGGTTTTGATTTGCATATCCCTGATGGTTAGTAACGTTGAGAATTTTTTCATATGCCTGTTGGCCATTTGTATGTCTTTTGAGAAATGTCTATTCAGATCATTTGCCCATTTTCAAATGGGATTATTTGGAGGATTTTTGCTGTTGAGTTTGAGTTCCTTATATATTCTGGTTATTAATCCCTTATCAGATGGATAGTTTGCACATATTTTTTCCCATTCTGAAGGTTGTCTCTTCACTCTGTTGATTGTTTCCTTTGCTGTGGCAGAAGCCTTTTAGCTTGATGTAATCCCATTTGTGTATTTTTGCTTTCATTGCCTCTCCTTTTGAAGTCTTAAACCAAAAAATGTTTGCTCAAAGTCTTGAGCATTTCCCCAGTATTTTCTTACAGTAACTTTTATAGTTTCAGGTCTTACATTTAAGTTTTTAATCCATTTTGATTTAATTTTTGTATTTGATGAGAGATGGGGGTGTAGTTGTATTTTTCTGCATATTGTTATTCAGTGTTCCCAGCACCATTTAATGAAGAGTGTGTCCTTTTCCCATTGAATATCTTGGTACCTTTGTTGAAAATCAGTTGGCTGTTAAGATGTGGATCTATTATTTCTGGGTCCTTTATTCGGTTCTATTGGTCTGTGTATCTGTTTTTATGCCAGTACCGTGCTCTTTTAGTTACTGTAGCTTTGTAGTATATTTTGAAGTTGGGTGGTATGATGTCTACAGCTTTGTTCTTTTTGTTCAGAATTACCTTGACTATTTGTGTTTTCTGTGGTTCCATATTAATTTTAGGTTTGTTTTTTCTGTTTCTGCAAGGAATATCTTTGTATTTTGATAGGAATTGCAACAAATCTGTAGATTGCTTTTGGTAGTACAGTCATTTTCACGATACGAATTCTTCCGAAGACATAGGATGTCTTTCTATTTTTTTGTGACCTCTTCAGTTTTTTTCCTCAGTGTCTCATAGTTTTCCTTGTAGAGATCTTTCACCTCCTTGGTTTATTCTAGGTATTCTATTTTGTTTTTTTGGTGGGGGGAGGGGTTGTAGCTATTGTAAATGGGATTACTTTCTTTGATTTCTTTTCCCACTAGTTTACTGTTTGTATCCAGAAGCACCATTAATTTTTATATGATAATTTTGTATCCTGCAACTGTACTGAATTTATCAATTCTAAGAGATTTTGTGTGTGTGTGTGTGTGGACCTTTTAGTTTATAAATTTGTATGTTTTCTTGTTTAATGTCTCTTTATTTTCATTAGACTTTAAGTGTGATGATGGCAGGTATCTGATACAGAGCATACTGCTAGACACAGAAGGTGGCCAATAAATATTTGCTAAATAAATGAACCTTTCTGAGTCCCAGTTTTCTTGTTTATATAATGGGGATAATAAATTATAACCTTGTAGAGTAGTTGTAAGGATTGCTGCATCATAGTAATGTCACTAAAAGGGAGGATGAATATGGGTATGGAGAAATGTACTGAGGTAGAAATAAGAGTAAATGTGGGAGCTGGATGGCTAGGTTTGCTCTCTGAAACAGGAGGTGGCAGGGAGTAGGAAGAAAATGGTAGTTGGCAAGGAGCTTGGGAAGGGCCTAGAATGGAATTGGAAGGGTAGTAGAGTATATAGGGAAGGCTGTGGAGGTGTAAAATGGCTCATAGAGACTGGGTGTGGTTGCTCATGCCTGTAATCAAAGCACTTAGGGAGGCCGAGCCAGGTGGATCACGAGGTCAGGAGATCAAGATTATCCTGGCTAACACAGTGAAACCCCATCTCTACTAAAAATACAAAAAAAAAAAAAAAAAATTAGCCGGGTATGGTGGCACGTGCCCGTAGTCCCAGATACTCCAGAGGCTGAGGCAGGAGAATCACTTGAACCTGGGAGGTGGAGGTTGCAGTGAGCGGACACCGTACCACTGCACTCCAGCCTTGGCAACAGAGTGAAACTCCATCTCAAAAAAAAAAAAAAAAGAATGGCTTATAGATAAACCTGATAAGATTTACCTTTGAAACATCTGTTAGAAGGGACAATCCATCATCATCTAATACCTGAAGGCTCTTCCATTCTCAGTTCAGCACCTTCAGAGACTGGTAGCCCATTTGTTCATCGAGTGAAAGGTCACTTAGTGGGCCTCTTGGTGGAGATATATATATATATAGTACACCCTCCCCTAAGGACCTTGCAGTAGAGATGAGGTGACTATGAAACAGACATATAAATGGAAGAGAATAATACAATTAAAACAGTGATAATGGCCAACACAGGGTGCTTTGGAAACGTACTGAAGAGGCTATTAATCTCAACTCTGGGTTCAAGGAAGGCTTCCTGAGAGGAGTGAGATTTCACCTGAAAAGACATATAGAAGTAGGTAAGTAGACTTCAGGTCATTATGGGTCATGACAAGGAAAGTAGATCATTAACAATCATGGAAGGTTTTCATGCAGAAGTATAATATGATCAACTAAGCATAATAAAAATATCCTTCTGGCAGCACTGTGGAAAATAATAAGATTGGAGAGAGAGAGACCAATTATAAAGAAAGTTGCAATAATCAGTGAAAACCAACCATTGAAGGCCTGGACCAGTAGGAATGGAAGGAAAAGAAAGGAAGATTCAAGAGCTATTAGAAAGGTAGAATTGTTAGGACAATTGAATGGGAAGGTTTGAGGAAGATGGGGTCATCAACGATGACCCACATTTGTAGCTCGGGTGGACATCTTGTTATTCACTGAAGTCTTAAATATAAGAGAGGAGTTGGAATATATTGGGAAGGGAAAGTGATGAGTGTACTCTTGTAATCTTGAGATGGAGATACATTCAGAGTAACAATTGCTAACTTTATTTGCCTATGGAATACCTAATTAGAATTCATTATTGAACCATCAATAGCTTATGAAACATAAAATAGAAAACTCACCAATTTTTTTAAACTAATGGCACGGTTTGAAAATTATAAGACACTGCTTTTCATTTAAAACTTCATTCTCTTACACATTTTTGAGATAACTAGGAGAAATGAACAGATTGGGTCAAATGAAGTTAAGTAATTTTTAATTTTGTTGGTTGTGGTGATGGCATTATAGTTATGTTAAGGGAAAGGTTATTATCTATTATAGATATGCCTAAAAGTATTTACTGGTGAAATGTAATGACAGAATTTGTTTAAAATACTCCAAAAAATGCAGAACAATAGATGAAACAAGAATGGAAGAATGTTAAATGTTGAAAATTGTTGACATTCATGAGAGTACATTGGAGTTTATTAGATTCTTCTCTTCTGTGTGTGCTTGGAGCTTTTCAAAGTAAAATTAAAAAAACCTTTTTAGTCAGAGATTCAAAGGAAATTCGTGGAATATATAATTTTAAATTAATAAATCAATATTGAATCACATGATAAATGTAATTTGAATATGTGATAAGACAAGTGACCGACCAGAGATCATCAAGCAGATGACATATGTCACCTGAGTAGTTAGGAAATGCTGTTTGAGCATTAATACACAGATTTAACCTTATGTTTATGCCTCAGATGATCTCATACAATTGTCTGAGATGCCATATGTTGAAAATAGCTGTATTGAGGTGGTTACTTTTCATATGATTCTCCCTTCTCTAGGAATAGCTCTAATCCATAGAGGTAATACTGTACCTGGCCACAACCAATGAATCCAGTGGTACACACCTAATACAAGCTGAGCCAGTGAGAGAGGCTCTCCCAGCAAAGCAAAACTTGAAAGATAAAGAGGCAGGAGGCCTTTGCAGGTGAGCATATTAATGGCAACTCAACCCCTGCTTCTAAGGTCCCTGTGGCTATTCTACCTGAGGCTAGCTTATTCAACTATTACTTTCATTTCATGAGTTAGATCAGTATCTTTCCAATAAATCCTCATTTTTAAAATGTAAGTTAGCCAGAATTGGTTTCTATTGCTTGCAATAAATAGACTTATTAAATATAATAAATTGTTACATAATAAAAAATATTATATAAATGTGTTTGATGTTGCATTATGTCTATGTGGAAATAAATTCAAAAATAAATGATTGCTATCATCAAACTTACTTTTTTTATTTCTTGAGGAACGCTATTGTGAAGAATACAGTTTAAGAACATGCAAATTCATGAAGCGTTCCATATTTAAAAAAAAAACAAAAACAAAAAACTGCTATTGCATAGCATCCAAGTGGATTTGACCAGAAGTGGTTCAGATATGGGTAGTGTGGAACTCAGAGCAAGATCTGAGCTGAAGAGGTAAGCTTGGAAGACATTAGCAAATGGGTGGTAACAGAAGGCATGTGGGAGTAAATGAGAGGACCATCCAGGGCAAGTGTATAGTCTAAGAAGAGTAAAGGTTGAGGACAAAACTCCAGGGAACACCAATACTTAAAGGGTTGCTGAAAGAAAGGAGTCCCAAAGGGACTGAAAAGGGGACGCCAGAAAAGTAGGAGGGAAAACTAGGAGAGAGTGCCATCAGGGATGCCAGAAATTTGACCAATTTAGGAGATAGGGTATGGCCAACAGTGTCAGATGTTGCAGAGACTAGTTCATTTGATTTGGCAACACAAAAGTATTGGTGAACAATTGCATTGTTGAGAGTTAAAAGATTAAATGGTAAGAATGGGAGCGGGGCCACAGTTGCCCATGACTTTTCCAAGAAATCTGACTCTGCTAGGGGAAAAAAAATAGAGTCCTTTTTATATATTTATTTATTTATTTTTTGAGATGGAGTCTTGCTCTGTCACCCAGGCTGGAGTGCAATGGCACGATCTCAGCTCACTGCAACCTCCACCTCCCGAATTCAAGTGATTCTCCTGCCTCAGCCTCCTGAGTAGCTTGGATTACAGGCACCCGCCATCACGCCTGGCTAATTTTTTTTTTTTTTTGTATTTTTAGTAGAGATGGGATTTTACCATTAACCAGGATGGCCTTGATCTCCTGACCTCGTGATCCACCCCCCTCGGCCTCCCAAAGTGCTGGGATTACAGGCGTGAATCACTGCGCCTGGCCAAATAGAGTCCATTTTTAAATGCTAGAAAGGGATGGCAGAGCTGAGTGTTAGAAAGCCAGAGCCTCCTGGATTTACCGGTGCTGTGCCATTATTTTCAGAGGCATTCATAGCTAATGACAAAGTAGACAGTGAACTACTGCAAAGCAGAACTGGCTGCCTTGCTCATCTCTTGCCCACAATTATTACTTTCCAAACTGATGAGAGACTATTCCTGAGATACTTATGATGGAGGTAGTTGGGAGGTCCTGGTGGGGAAGGATTACATGGAGGGAAGAGTAGTTATAAGTGTTTGAACTTGTTACCATTTAAACTGAGATTATAGAAGGGGAGAATGGAGTTAACCACCCCTCACCACAGTCTTGGTGAGGGATGGTTATGTTTGTCCTCACCTTGGTCTTGTCTACACTGTGCTCCCTATGGAGAACTTGGACCCCTCTGCCTTGTTCCTCTCACCCAGAGAAATTGCAGTGTCTGCTGTACCTATTCCTATGCCCTTCCACCCAGTCTAGTTTCTCCTGTTCTTCCCCAGATCTCCTTCCAAATAGACTGGTGTAACTGGCACAAAGTGTTTGTTAACTGATTGCCAATCCAATAATAAGGGGACTGAGGTTCCTCTTTGAAGGGTGGGTTTAATTTGGGGCTTTCGTACCAATTCTGACCACGTGTAGAGCATCATTCAGCACACTATGGGCTGTGAGCACAATCTTGCCTACCACCTGTTTTTAAATGGCCTAAAAGCTAAGAATGGTCTTCACATTTTTAAATGGTTAGGGAAAAAAAAAGCAAATGAAGAATATTTCGTGACACATGAAAATTACATGAAATTTGAATTTTAGTGTCCATAAATAAAAAGAGGGTTGAGGACAAAAACTCCAGGGAACACCAGTATTTAAAGAGTAGCTGAAAGGAAGGAGTCTATGAAGGAGACTGAGAAGGAGATGCTCAAGAAGTGGGAGGAAAAGCTAGGAGGAAACTAGGAACACAGCCACTCTCCTTCATTTACATATTGTGCATGGAGGCTTTCGTGCCACAGTTGAGTACTCATGACAGAGATCTGATAGCCCACAATGTCTAAAATATTTGCCATCTGGCCCTTTACAGAAAAAGTTTGCTAACCCCTGGTTTAGGACTCTAGGTGGCTGTGTCCCATATGTCTCCCCACTGGTAGTCTCATAAACTTCTTTTCTACTGTCCAGGGGCCTGAATCTCCCCACTGCCAGAACCGCTGATGGGTTAGTGCATAAATGTTGGGATACTGGGAAATGTTCTTTTGTTTTCTGGAGGGTTACCATGATTTCCAAACCCTAGTCCTTCCCTGGCACCCTGCCTCCACCACACAGACACACACACATATATACACATTGCTGTTCCAGAATATCTAGGAGGTCATAGAGTTGTTTTTGTTTTTGGCTATTACTGCTGCTATTACTTGTTTATCAAAAGAGGATATGAAGCCAGGCACAGTGGCATGTGCCTATAGTCCCCAGCTACTGAGGCGGGAGGATCGCTTGAACTCGGGGGTTCAAGACTGGAGTGAGTTATGATTGCACCTGTAAGTAGCCACTGCACTCCAGTCTGGGCAACAGGGGAAACTTTGTCTTAAAAAAAAAAAAAAAAAAGGTGGAAGGTATGAATTTTGAAAGCCTCAGAAACACTGTTGGACAATATTCACATATATTAATTTCTCAGATTACTTGATTGCCACATTAGAGCTTTCTCACTGCCTCTTCCCCCACCCCTTCTGTCTTTCTCTTTCTTTTGTCTAACAAACTTGAAGCATGTACACTGACAGTTTCTTCCTCACCTCCCACTTACTTCTCAGCCCACCACAATCTGGAGTTGACTCCCACTACAACACTGAAACTGCTCTCAATAAATTTGTCAGCCATCTCATAATCACCAAATCTAAGGACACTTTTCAATCCTTTCTTGACTTTTGAGTAGCATTTAAAAATGCTGACCTTGCCCTCCTTCATGGCACACCTCTTTTTTATTTCTCTGATCTGCTTCTACCTTGGTCTTTTCTTAGTGCTCTGGATGGTCCTCGTGCCACCAGATTCTTACAAACCAGGGTATTTCAGTGTACTCGTTATTATCTTTGTCTCAGTGACACACACACCCTCCTCTACTGTGTTTTGAACTGCTTAGCTTAGGAGTCAGCCAGGTGTGTATTTCCCAGCCTTCCTGGACATCTGGCTTCCTTTTTGATTCTGCCAGTAGGAGGCACTGATGGGAGATCAGAAGGCAAGAGAAACTGAGAAGCATCCTGCTTCAGCCTCTAAACAGTGGCGGTGGCTGGCAATAGCTGGTAGCTATTGGCTGTAGCTGTAGCAGCAGGAAGAATGGGAGACTCAGGACTCCAGCCTCCTGAGCAGAAGTACCTTCTCAAGGATTCTAGCCTTGAAGGAGGTGGCACCTTTCTAGTAGATTGGAACTGACTATGACAGTGTCTCTCACAAGGCAATGAGTAGATTTACAGATTCCAGCTCAGGGATGATGGCAGCTTCTGATTTCCAGATAGCAATCTTTTTTTAAAATGTACATTTCTAGGACTCTCCTTTTTTTTTTTTTTTGTACTTCTTGCCCTTTTAACACCTTTGTAACCAATTCTCTATATTAAATTCTTTCAGTCTGAAGCACATAAAGTAGTTAAATGCTCCTGACTGGATCCTGGATAACTGGTATGAGGTTTGGGGTTTGAGCCCATGCATGCTTTTGTCCTTGTTTCACTTCCCACTCCTTCTGCACAGTTTACTTGGGTGATCTTATTCATGGCCTCTGCTTCGACATTTGTGCTGATGACTCTCAAATCAGGGTCTTCAGACCATACCTGGGGTCCATACCCACACGCCTCACTGCGCTCCCATGCAGTTTCAGCTGGCTGTTCCACTGGCATTTCAAATTCAACATGTACAAAATCAAGCTCTTTCTCTCTGTAAACCTGCTCCCATGGCATTCTTTTCTGCTTCAATTCAGTCCATCCCTGACCACCCACCCAGCCACCCATGCTGGAAATCTGAGATATCTTTGACTCCTCCACCTTCCCACTCCCACAGCTAATCAGTAGCCAAACCCTTTAGATTCTACTTCCTAATTATCTTGATATTCTATCTCCTCTGCCTCCTCTAATTATGACTTAATTCAGGCTCTTATTATCTGTCATTTAAATTATTGCTGTATTGCTACAGGAGTGGTGTGTATATGTGCAACTGTTCATCTTGGTATGCTATAGACTCTTGCCCAGCAGTTTTGCCTCAATTCTTTAAAAGCTCCAGTTCATTGTTTGAAATATCAATCAGAACATTTTTTCCAAAATGCTAAAATGATTGTCATTCCCCAGTTTTAATATCTCTATCATCTGCTAAGTAAAAGCAAGCTCCTCCTTGTGGCGTAGCAGGGCCCACGTGATCTGGCCCTTGCCCGAATTTGTAGCTTATCACAACATCCTTCTACCCCCCATTACCTCCTATTATACAGGAACACCCAAGCGACCTTCACAACATTCATATCAACTAGTACACAGGGTCTCCAAAGAGGACCTCTGGATGCCTGTGATCTTTGTACTTCTGCCTACCCTTTGCCCTGGCGTGTTTTTCTCTTCCTTCATGTTCTGCTGGCCAAATTGTTTTTCCTTCAAGTCTTAGGAGCCTGCCTGATTATGTTCCTCCTATTCCGCATCCTCATAAAATTACTGCGACTTCCAAAACACTTGGCACATTCTTATTTGAATACATTACATTGTTGTGTAATTATCCCTTGGCCCCCTCCCCCAGCACTAGACTCTAAGCTCTTTGAAGGCAGACTATGCCTATTCATCTTTGTATTTCTAGCCCTGGGCCCAACACCCAGAATTTCTTGTATTTTCAATATATGTCTGCCAAATGAATTAGAGCTAATGCCTGAAGGAGAATAAGTTTTTTTGAGAAAGAGGAAGAGCCAGGAGGGAGGAGAAGGCAGGGTCCGAAGAGCCCTGGGGGTTTACTTGGGGAAGATGCGGTTCCCCATTGCAGCATTCTGCCAGGAGGTGGCACTGCTCTGAAGAGCCAGCTGGTCGCTTACAGACTGAGGCTGACAGCTTGAAACCAAAGAGGGAACTCCACCAGGAAGCAACATTCCTCCACTGGGCTTCCCAGCCCAGTTACATGCCATACTCTGCCCTGGTCAAACAGCCAAGTCTTCAGGAGGTTACTGGCCCCAGGCGTCTCCCCAGTGACTGATGATGTTAAACCCTACGCTTCTCTGATTGGTTTAGACAAAATGACAAGGGCACCTATTGGAAATGATCTGGCAAAACATGATCTAAGGCCACCCTCTCGGGGAGGGAGTTGGGGAAGCTGGGTTGGCTGGGTTGGTAGCTCCTACCTACTGTGTGGCAAGAAGGTATGGGTCATGAACAGAACCAAGGAGCTGCGCTGCTACAGATGTTACCACTTCTGTGGCTGCTACCCCACTCCTGGGCCGTCCCTGAAGGTAAGATGGTACTCCTATTTACTTCCATCCTGAACCTAGGGAGCCCACTCAGCTTTGTGAGGAAAAGCGCTGTGCTTTGTGAGTGGTGGGAAGTCTTATGAGGCAGTGGAAACAACAGGGGAGTGGGGAAAGACAGCTGCTATGTGTGGTTGGTAAACGATATCAGTGATGCTTTGCATGTTCCATTTAAGACAATCTCTTGAAGCGGAGATTGTTCTCTCCATTTTACAAATGAAGAAAATGAGACTCAGAGTTATTTGTGCAAGTTCACACCATTGGAAAGTGGTAGAGCTGGGATTTGAACAAAGTGAATGTTATTTTCACTCCTCCACTCAAGATTCTACTCTGCTTTCTATCATTAACTTATCTTGTGATTCTTGAAAAGTGTCTTAGTTTCCTTCTCTGTAGAGGATGGGGCAGAATGGAAGAATAATCTGGAAGATCCCTCTTCCTCCAAATGTCTGTTTTTCTGGGTATTGGGTTAAAGGTTTCCTGCTGGCTGAGCGATTCCTGCCAAGAGCTTCAAAGAAGAGGGATTATTTTATGCAGTTATGGGGTCACTTCTCCCATTGCTGTCTTTGGGAGGCCTGGTAGGTTAAGGAACAGAAGACATTTTGAGAGACGCTTGGTGCCAATGAAGTGGCTGAAGAAATGTCTGGATACAGGTTTTCCAATTTACCATTTGTGTCTGGGGATAGTGGGAGGCAGTCCCATCTATGGCTTGGGGAGGCTGTAGCCATTCCTCCTCTTTCCCTTCTAAGAGTGAGAAACCCATCCATGGCCTTCTCTAGTCAATACAGTGGCCTGGTATGAATTAGACAAAGGAATCCCCTTTGGGAGGATACAGCCCTATGCCAGGATGTATGGCATGGTGAGCAGAATGCAGGCTTTCACTTGCTTCTTTGGCTAGGTGTCTTTGTGCAGCCCCCAAACACACAATGAACAGTGACTCTGAATCTGTCACTTTATTTTATATATATACATTTTTAAATTTTTTATTTGATTTAATTTATTTTTTTTGACACGGCATCTCGCTCTGTCACCCAGGCTAGAGTGCAGTGACGTGATCTCGGCTCCCTGCAACCCCTGCCTCTGGGGTTCAAGAGACTCTCCTGCCTCAGCCTCCCAAGTAGCTGGGATTACAGGCGCATGCCACCACACCCAGCTGATTTTTGTATTTTTAGTAGAGATGGGGTTTCATTATGTTTGCCAGGCTGGTCTCAAACTCCTGACCTCAGGTGATCCACCCGCCTTGGCCTCCCAAAGTGCTGGGATTACAAGCTTGAGCCACCGCGCCCGGCCTTTATATATATATTTTTTGAGACGGGCTCATTCTGTCACCTGGGCTGGAGTCCAGTGGCACAATCATGGCTCACTGCAGCCCCAACTTCCTAGGCACAAGCAATCCTCCTGCCTCAGCCTCCAGAGTAGCTGAGACCACAGGTGTTTGCCACCACACCTGGCTAAGTTTTTGTATTTTTTGTAGAGACGGTCTCGCTGTGTTGCCCAGGTTGGTCTTGAACTCCTGGGCTCAAGCAATCTGCCTGCCTCAGCCTCCCAAAGTGCTGGGATTACAGGCATGAGCCACCATGCCTGGCCTGAATCTGTCACTTTAGAAAGTAGAACTCTTTACTTTTGCCAACTGGCCTTTTTATAGGCAGGGGAAGCTTGGAGAGATGCCATAATTTGTTCTTCACCCCCTTTGGGAGGGGGAGTCTAAATAACAGACACAGGAAAGGGTCTCACCTCAGCCCACGCTCCTTAAGCAGGCCTTGCTTGTTTTTGTTGTTTTGTTTTGAGACAGAGTCTCACTCTGTCACCCAGGCTGGAGTGCAGTGGCTTAATCTTAGCTCCCGGCAACCTCTGCCTCCCTGGTTCAAGCAATTCTCCTCCCTCAGCCTCCCGAGTAGCTACAGGCGCATGCCAACATGCCCAGCTACTTTTTTGTATTTTTAGTAGAGATGGAGTTTCACCATGCTGGCCAGGCTGGTCTCAAACTCCTGACCTCATGATCCACCCACCTTGGCCTCCCAAAGTGCTGGGATTACAGGCATGAGCCACTGCGCCTAGCCCCACCTTGCTGTTTTTTAAGTTGGAGGAGAAGGCTCCCACCTCCCTGAACCTCACCCTGTGTCCTTTGCAGCTCCTACTCCAATGTGGCCAGATGACCTGCAAAACCACACATTCCTGCACACAGTGTACTGCCAGGATGGGAGTCCCAGTGTGGGACTCTCTGAGGCCTACGACGAGGACCAGCTTTTCTTCTTCGACTTTTCCCAGAACACTCGGGTGCCTCGCCTGCCCGAATTTGCTGACTGGGCTCAGGAACAGGGAGATGCTCCTGCCATTTTATTTGACAAAGAGTTCTGCGAGTGGATGATCCAGCAAATAGGGCCAAAACTTGATGGGAAAATCCCGGTGTCCAGAGGTCAGGAGTTTTCTGGGGAGTGAAGGGAGGAGGGCTGCATTAACCTCATTGATCTGTACACTGAATAATTCCCCTTGATACCAGCTCCCCATCTCAAATACTTTCTGGTTCTCTTCATCACCTTAATTTTTCCACCAGCCTTGGTCTGCACCCTGTGTTCTTTTGGTGGGCCGAAGTACCTAGCATGTAGTAGGCATTCAGAACTATGTATTGAATGTGATGAATTCAACAGGTACCAACTGATACCTACTGAATATTAACACTTGTGCTACTATGCCCAGCAAGATGGATGGGAAGAGTGGAAATATCTGATGACGTGACTATGTCTTAGTGAGAAGACAGTGCATGGTTAGACATCAATGTGAGCTCTAGACAGGAAGTGCTGAAGGAAGTCATGGTGGAGGGGTCCAGAGTAGCCTGGATCTGGCTCTGCTTCTACGTCTAGCTGCAGTCCTTGCCTGGAAGAAGACCTCCCTTCAGAGCCCAGCTCCTCGCTCATCTCTGTCTCCCAAAGCCTGACCCACTGTGTTCTTCTCTGCCCTCCCCTCCATATGCCATGGCCCCTCCAAACACAGAGATACCATCTAAACTAGTCTCTTTTTCCCCCTACACTTCAATCCCCCCACCAGGGTTTCCTATCGCTGAAGTGTTCACGCTGAAGCCCCTGGAGTTTGGCAAGCCCAACACTTTGGTCTGTTTTGTCAGTAATCTCTTCCCACCCATGCTGACAGTGAACTGGCAGCATCATTCCGTCCCTGTGGAAGGATTTGGGCCTACTTTTGTCTCAGCTGTCGATGGACTCAGCTTCCAGGCCTTTTCTTACTTAAACTTCACACCAGAACCTTCTGACATTTTCTCCTGCATTGTGACTCACGAAATTGACCGCTACACAGCAATTGCCTATTGGGGTGAGGCTTTCTCCCTGGAATTCTGGTCCTTTTGGGGGCAAAAAGGGATAGATCCATGGGAGGAGGCTTCTTTCTCCACTGGTACCTTGTTTAGTCCATTCCTACCCTAAGCCCATCCCAGTCTCCCATGTCATCCCAGACACCCACGTCATTTCCCTGGGTGGGAGGCTCCCTAACTAGGTCCCCAGGCTGAGCCACTCATTTCCTCCAGTACCCCGGAACGCACTGCCCTCAGATCTGCTGGAGAATGTGCTGTGTGGCGTGGCCTTTGGCCTGGGTGTGCTGGGCATCATCGTGGGCATTGTTCTCATCATCTACTTCCGGAAGCCTTGCTCAGGTGGTATGTCATCTGGAGGGGGCGGGTGAGCCTGTGGGAGCCAGATACAGTGGTGCATGCGTGCATGTGTCAGGATTATTTTGTGGCATGGGGGGACATATAGCGATCCTCAGGCCCTTGGGTGTGGGGGCCTGTATCCAGCACCATGGGGGCACATCTTCCCAGTTGGGGACCCAGTTACACACACACAGTTATGGGTCACAAGAATTGCTTTGAGTGAAAAAAGGAATCATGGGGTGCTGTAGGAAGGGTGCTTGGAGATGATTTGGGAACAAGGAGAGATCAACTTCTGCAGGGTGTGGTGCAGGCAGGGCGAGCAAGGCCTTTGTGGGGGAGGAGGAGGAGGAGAAGGAGGAGGAGGATGGATCCCCTGATGCCTTTCCTCCATCCCTGTCTCTCCCCCAGACTGATTCTTCCAGACCAGAGTTTGATGCCAGCAGCTTCGGCCATCCAAACAGAGGATGCTCAGATTTCTCACATCCTGCCCAGGATCTCCTCTTAGGGTAGAAGAAGTCTCTGGGACATCCCTGGGGTGTGTGTGTAGATTTCCCACCTGGGGACTCTGCTGTCCCTGGGCTTGCATCCCAGGGATCCCAGAGTGGCCTGCCTATCACAACCACATCCCTTCCCCCCACAAGGCAATAAATCTCATTTCTTTATATCAGTGTGGCTTCTTTCTTAACTCATGGTATTTGTTTCTGGATATCTCAACTTGAGTGGGTTGTCGTTTCAAATTCAGCATGCCTTAACCTGAACACAGCTTGACCTCGTTAGGGAGGGAAATAGGGAAAACCCCTAATTTGCCAGCTGAGCTCTTATTCCCTGGTCTTGGCGGTACATGATGTTTTTCCATCTATCGGTTTGTGCAAAATATGTGAGAAACGAAGGCAGAGTTATTTTCTAATAATCTGCTTACAAAATGGTTAAGGAAGCTGCTTGTGTGTTTTGTGCGTGTGTGTGTGTGTTGTGTATTTTACTGTTTGTGAAAATGTTTATGTCTCGTATAGGCTGCCCTGAGGAACATATAACTCCCTTCAACCCTCACCGTAACTGAGAAACAGAAGCTCAGGGATGGGAAGAATAAGCTCCCAAGTGCTATACCAATCAGTTATGTCAGTTCTGGGAAAACAGTATCATGAAGCCCCTAACATGAAGTGAAAACAGCCTGGAAGGGCAAAGAATTCACATGTCTTTCCTGACAATCTGTTCCTTGGCCTGAGTGAACTGTCCAAGGAGAACTGCACAGGTGCTGTCCTGGGAAGATAACGAAAGGTGGCAGCACATGACCACTGGTGGTAAATTGCTTTGCATATGCTTTCTTTCTTGCATTCCTTAGGGTCTGGGAGTTGCTTTGGATGACAGGGTGGCAATAAAGTTGAGAGGGCAATTATTTGGTGAGGGAGTTTCTGTTCTTGGCATTGTACTAGAGTCTAATCTAAAAGAAAATATTAAATTCTCCCTAAGAGAAGTTGCACTGTCTCTGAACCATCTCATTTCTAACAGCATCATGTGTACCGGTTAAGAAGCATGGGCTCTGGAACCTGACTGCTGGGGATTCAATCGTAACTGTCAGCGTTTAGCTGTGAGCCCTTGGGCAAGTTACTTAACTTGTGCTTTGGTGTCATTTTCTGTAAAAGGATGATGATAACAATGGTGTCCCCCTTACCACTCTACACCCACCATGTTGCCAACATTTGAAAGTCAAATAAGTATTAGCGAGGATAAAGGAAAATGTGAACTGTAATATCTTGGTCTGTTGGTGGGAATGTAAACTGTTTATGATGCCCGAATTACAGAAATTATGAACTAGTTGAGTGAAAAAGTTAATATAGGAAATAAGGCAGCATATCCTCATGCTGTGAAGCTTAAATAAGTTAATACCTACAGAATGCTTAAAATAGTGTTTGGCACATAGAAAATGTGCTGAATAACCTAACCTTATCATTATTGGTCTTGATCTTCAGAGGAGAACTTAGTTGCCTCGTAGACTTCTTTCTCTTTTCTGAAATATACCTCAATACTAGCTTCAAGTATTGTATTTTCTCCATTTTAGATGTTTTTCTTTTTATTCTCATGTTAGTAATTCTAGATGTGGTGCTTTCTAGTTCTTCCTAATTTCTCTGTCTCTCTGTTTTCCAACTTATCTAGATATTTCCTGTCAGGCAAGACTTAAAAGTGCTTTATTATGCTGTGTGACTTTAGACAAGTCACTTCCCCTCTCTGGGCCTCAAAGTCTTCATCTGTAAAATGATGGGCTTAGATTAGATGCTCTCTGATGAAACCTTCTATGATACTGTTACTTAAGTACTCTAGAAGCACTCAGTATCCTCTCTAGTCTGGTGCCCCTTTTCTAATAAAAAATATTACTCACTATTCCCAGCAGGAATGCTATTCTTGAATAAATCTTTTTTCCTCACTCTTCCTTGAGGTATTATATCTGATTTTGGTTTAGGGCATTTGCCCAGGCTCTTTCCTCTCACAAGAATGCTTTCTTTATTCTGCTCATCTTGTTCCTGTCTTAACCCACTCCATAGGTCCAACTCCAGTTCAACTTATTCCATGAACCTGCCCCTAATTTCTCTTTATTGAAATCTTCCAAGACTTAAAGCACTCAACCTAAGGATTGGGATATGCCGCTTTATTTCCTATGTTAATTTTTTCGCCCAACTAGTTTATAATTTCTATAATTCAGGGATCATAAACAGTTTACACTCCCATCAACAAAGCAAGATAGTTCACATTTCCCTTTATGCTCACTAATGCTTGTAATTATTTGACTTTCAAATGTTGGCAACATGGTGGGTGTAGAGTGGTATTTTGTTGTTTTAATTTGCTTTTCTCTCATTACTAATCAGTATCATATTGTTTGATTATTTTGGCTTTTTAATATGTGTTACTATTTAGTAGAACTAGTCTCCATTCCTTCACCACCTTCCCAAAAAATTTATTTTCCTTTTCTTTATCAAAATATTCTAAGATACTCTTGGACTTTATTTCCATGTACATTCTATAATCAGTTTGTTAAATTCTCCTGAAATCCTACTGTTACTTTAATTGGGGTAGCATTTAGGTTAGAGATGTGGGGAGAGGTTGTCATTATGTTAGCATGGCCTATCCATGAATATGGTATATCTCTACACCTCTCAGGTCTTTGTGCACTTCAATAAAGTTTTCTTTTTTCTTAAAATTCTTATATTTGATATGTTAATTCATAAATATGCTATGGTTTTTATTGTTATTATAAATAGTAGGCAATTTTCAGTTATTTTCCAATTGATTATTGGCAATACAGGATTTAAAGTAATAAATCCTGAGTTCAAGTAATGGTTTTATTACTTAGTATCTGGGTAAATCTGGGCAACCACTTAACCTCCCTCTGCCTCCATTTTCTCGTGGGTAAGATGAAGATAGCATTCTTCAATAGTTGTGGTGGCAAAAAATAAAATTAAAAAAGGAAAAATAGTTGTGGCAAATCAGATAGACTATCCCTAGTAGTTCAAATAATTTGACTGTAGGTTGGAAGGATGGTGAACTGACTACAGAAACTATAATCCAAAGGTCAGGGTCTAGAGCAGTGAATCCTGACAGGGTAGGAGGGTGTGTGTGTGGGCGGAGGTGAGGTAAGGGGTAGATGGCAGGGGTGGGGTGGGGATTGGACAGATTGGGCAAGTAATATAATCTTGGCAGGATGTAGGTGTGTGTAGTTTTGAAAAGACACTGAAGTCACGAATGTGGTCTTATGCTATGAGGCGTGATTAACTGGTTGAGCAATTTTGTGTTTATAAAATGGAGACTTCAGTTAAAACCGTCTGCCCCAAGAACCTGCGAACTGACATGGAGCAACTTTAGGAAGTGCCTAGAAGAGATTTATTATTATGGCCATACTCTCAGAAAAAAACAAGAAATCACATTTGTGACTTCCTCCAACGTGCAGTGCCAGTGACGTTATTGTAGCTTGTCTTTGTTTTAGCTAACCCAGGCTCTCGTAGGACACCTCCTCCCTGATGGCACCTCACAGCATTGTCAAGCTTGTGGAGCTATACACCAGACCTACAATGCCAACTGCCTTCCTCCTCTCCAACACAAATCCAGCCCAGTATTCAAGGCTCATTCCAGGCCCTCTCGACTGAGAGTACTCCCTGTCTACCATGTCCATGGTGATTTCTCTCTTCTCTTTTAAGACCACTGGCCTTATTGCTTACTTACTTTAATATAAACTATTTAAAGTGTTTGTTCTCACTCCCCAATTGACGTACAAGCAAAGCGATATGGGGGCAGAATCCATATCTTCTCACTCTGTATTTTCCCAGTAATGCTTTGCACACAAACCCTGGGACTAGTTTACTGCAGGCATGTGGTGGTCAGGCTAAGGGCAGAGGCAATGGGAAAGGAGAGGACTCACTCTTTGGGTGGTTGTGTAGAGGCAATAAAAGAAAGGCAACATGTGGGAACCTGGTTGGGGCTCCATACCTCTTCGGTCCCGGTGCTATATCAATAATTAACAAATAAGTAACAATGGACAGAGCAACTGAAATGTTATTTTGAATTGGCTAGAGGTGGAAAGACAGAGCTATATCTGTAAAAATGGAAGGGTTGGGAGGAGGAGAGGAAGGAAAACACTGCTGAGCACAGGTGTCTGGGTTTTCTGTCCTTCTTTATTCTAAAAAGCTCCCTCAGTGTTTGAATTAATAGAGAAGTGAAATCCTCTCCTACCATTTCCTGTTGTGGCCTCACAGAAGGTTTCACATCTCCTTTGACTGCCGGAGCAGAGATCTAGACATAAGAGGGAACTACATTCAGCCCCACTGTTACTGGCTAGGGCCATGTTCAGTGCTGGCACAGGACCACACAGCCAGTGCTCCCTTGCCAGGGCTAGGCTTTGTAGACATTGAAAAGGATCCCAGGACTTGGTTCCTATAAGGTTAGGCTAACAGCTTACCTGGGCAGGATGGGGAGGAATGTGAGGGGGAAATGTATTGGGGGGGTGTGGGGGAAAATTCAGTTTTGAAACTTGTCAAAAGAGAAAGTGGAAGGGACGGTGGTTCTCAGAGCAGAAGGAACTCTGAGGACAGGAAAGATAAGACTTGGGTGAATTGGGTTATGGATTGTGACTCTTCTCTTTCTCTCTTTCTCAGCGGAGGCCTCACTAACTCCCTTTATTTGAGCCATCCCAGTTCCAAGATGTAGTGAGTGTGTGGGCATGCTCAAGAGAGTGTGTATGTGTGTGTGTGTGTACACACGTGCATGTGTAACAGCTGTATAAGAAGAGGAGTTACAGCCTTTAGACCTTGGGTGTGAATCTTTGGACCTGTTTTCCAACCTGGGAAATGAGGACAATTAACAAGTTTTTTTTTTTTTTTTTTTTTTTTGAGACAGTCTCATTCTGTCACCCAGGCTGGAGTGCAGTGGCACGATCTCGGCTCACTGCAACCTCCACCTCCCAGGTTCAATCGATTCTCCTGCCTCAGCCTCCAGAGTAGCTGGGATTACAGGCACGCGCCACCACACCCAGCTAATTTTTGTATTTTTTGTAGAGACGGGGTTTCACCATGTTTGCCAGGCTGGTCTCAAACTCCTGACCTCAGGTGATATGCCTTCCTCAGCCTCCCAAAGTGCTGGGATTACAAGCGTGAGCCACCATGCCCGGCCAACAAGTCTTTTAAGATGAGATGAGATATTATAGAAAGGACCTACCTAGCACTGTATCTGTAGAAGCTCTACAGATTATGCACTCCCCACCCCATATTCTGCCCATTCCAACACACTTGACAGTTCGTTAGCAGAGTTAGAGTATATAAGCAAGGTGAGTGGGGGCAGTGGCTGGGAGCTATGGCAGAGCTTCAGTTAATCTCAATTAGTTACACAACGAATCTTTCGTTTTTGGTAATAATCTTTGTATGCATTTTTTATCCCCATTTTCTTCATAGGTGTTAGATTTTCCTGAGATCAGGGACTTTGAGGGAGGGCAGGTAAGTGTGGTGTCAAGGGGCCCCTTCCACAATCCTGTTTTGTTTAGCTCACTATTTAATAAAATCCAAGAGTTCTCAGAAACTAAGATGTGAAGAGGCAGCCCTGAAACCTACTGGGGAGCAGAAGGAAGCCAATTTAGAGTTTCAAGTTAGTGATGGAAAATCCATCAACTGTATAGTTCACAATGGGATAGAAGAATGAATTGCCGTTTAAAATCTGCTTTTTCAGGCCAGGCACGATGGCTCATGCCTGTAATCCTAGCACTTTAGGAGGCTGAGGTGGGTGGATCACTTGAGGTCAGGAGTTCAAGAACAGCCTGGCCAACATGATGAAACCCTGTCTCTACCAAAAAAAAAAAAAAGACAAAAACTAACCAGGAGTGGTGGCACATGACTGTAACCCCAGCTACTCAAGTGGCTGAGGCATGAGAGTCATTTGAACCCAGGAGGCGAAGATTGCAGTGAGCCGAGATTATCCCACTGTACTCCAGCCTAGGCGACAGAGTGAGACTTTCAAAAAAAAAACCTGTGAAAAAAATAAATACGCAAATACATAAAATCTGCCTTTTCAAGACACACACGTGACCAAGAAGCATATGAAACAATGTTCAACATTACTAATGATTAGAAAAATGCAAATCAAAATCATAATGAGATACCGTCTCACACCAGTCAGAATGGCTATTATTAAAAAGTCAAAAAATAACAAATGTTGGAGAGGTTGCAGAGAAAACGGAAGGCTTATACACTGCTGGTGGGAACATAAATTAGTTCAGCCATTGAGGAAAGCAGTTTGGCAATTTCTCAAGAACCTTAAAACAGAGCTACCATTCGTCCCAGGAATCCCATTATTAGGCATATACCCAAAGGAGTATACATTGTTCTACCATAAGGACACATGCACATGAATGCTCACTGCAGCAGTATTCATAATAGCAAAGACATGGAATCAGCCTAAATGCCCACCAACAGTAGACTGTATAAAGAAAATGTGGTACATATACACCATGGAATACTCCACAGACAAAAAAGGACGAGATCACGTCTTTTGCAGCATCATGGATGGAGCTGGGGGCTGTTATCCTAGGCAAACTAACACAGGAGCAGAAAATGAAATACTGCATGTTCTCACTTTTATAAGTGGGAGCTAAACATTGAGTACACATGGACACAAAAAAGGGAATAATAGACACTGGGCCCTACTTGAGGGTGGAGGATGGGAGGAGGGAGAGGATCAAAACACTACCTATCAGATACTATACTTATTACCTGGGTGATGAAATAAATTTTTACGCCAAATCCCGATGACACACAATTTACCTATATAACAAACCTGCATGTGTACCCTTGAACCTAAAACAAAGGTTAAAATAATTTAAAATAAATAAAAAATAAAATCTTACTTGGTATTCTCAAAAAATAAAAAACAAAATCTGTCTTTTCAGGGGAAGAAAAGTAGGAAAGCTTTATCTCATTTTCCTAGTGGCTTCATAATGCAGGGACCTGCCCCCAGGGAACAGGGTATAGTAGGGGAAACACACAGGGGTGTTTAGAGTTTGGCGAAAGGCAGGTGAGCTCTGGGCACTGACCCGTCACCAGCTATTTTTCAAGGAGTCTGAGAGGTGTTAACCTGCGGTCTACCCCGTGAGATTGCTCAGAGTGTAGGAGGATATGGTTTACTAGCTCCGGAAAGCAGCTATTATAACTGAGGAGGAAATGAAGCTTGACTGGCTAGAACAGAAGCAACAATGGAGGCCCATGGAGGGATTTTCCAGGCCCCTATTCCTGATCTCCATGGTGGCGCTGCTTCCCTTATTCTGCAGTCTTGCTTTGAGACCAGACAATTCTGTACTCTGTCTGTGCCTTCTTCCTTCTCAGCAGCCCTGCCTCTGCCACCTGCCCCAGAAGGGCTCTGGGTCCTCTCATCTCAGGACAGACAAGGGTTTTTGTAATTATCTTCTTGGGTAACCTCCCTGTAAGGAATAGGAGAGGTTATCTGGTCCTGGTCTTTTGGGAGAGCATTGAGAAGAAAAAGTTAAACCAGTGGGCAGCCCAGGCTGCATACATCCTGGGAATATTGCGATTATTCTCTCCAGTAATCTACGGAAATCTACTGGTTGTTCTGCAGAAAAAGAATTAAGAGAGACAAGGAGACCTGTTGTCTAAGACTAAGGCAGGATGACGTTTACCTAGTAACTGATGATGCTAGGCTGAGGCACTCAGTGATTTGTCTCTACATTTGTCCCTGCCTACCTAGCCAATCTGTCCCTGTTTGGGACACTGGACTCCCGTGAGCTGGAAGGAACAGATTTAATATCTAGGGGCTGGGTATCCCCACATCACTCATTTGGGGGGTCAAGGGACCCGGGCAATATAGTATTCTGCTCAGTGTCTGGAGATCATCTACCCAGGCTGGGGCTTCTGGGACAGGCGAGGACCCACGGACCCTGGAAGAGCTGGTCCAGGGGACTGAACTCCCGGCATCTTTACAGAGCAGAGCATGATCACATTCCTGCCGCTGCTGCTGGGGCTCAGCCTGGGCTGCACAGGAGCAGGTAAGGACACTTCTTCTGGGGACTCTCCCTTCCCCTGCTCCTGTTTCAGGGTAAGGGTGTTCCGTTTTGTAATTGCATTTGACACCCCAGATAGTTTGTCTCCCTGGTATACATTCCTATAGCACTTTGTACTTTGTAGCAATTTTAATGTAATTAATCTGTATAATTATCTGTGCAGTGTATATTCCCTGCTGGAATATAGGCAAGGACAATGTTCATCTTATTTATTGCTGCCTCCTCAGCTCCTAGCACAGTGCCTTGCATGCAGCAAGTGCTTCATAAATATGTGCGAAGTGAATATTTAATATTTCCAGCACAATACAAGGCTGACTCTTTCTCTTGACCCTTTTTCTCTCTCAATAATTTGCCTTACTGAAGGTCTGTGTTCTGGGCAAATTGTCATGTTTAAACATGCAAATAATCTCGGGGGGCTACTCCTATCCCTGTGCTTAGTCTTGCATAAAGAGGAGACTGGATCTAAAAACTTATCTACTACTTCTACTGACTCCCTCAAATCAGACTTTCAGAAACTTCAGTGTATGAGCTTGGTCAGTAGATGTTCCCTGAGCAGGAAATCTGTGCCAGACTAGCTGGATGTCACCAAGGCTTAGGTTCTGAGCTGAATATAGGAAAAATCAACTTTTTTTCTTCTATATGCTCACACTCAACACTTCTTTGACCAACTGTGTGAGGTTTTTTTTTTTTTTTTACTCATACCAACCAATTCTCCTATATTAGCTGGATATCCTATAATTCAATTCCATTGTGACATTAACTAGAGTTAACATAGACACCAAAGGTTAAAGACTCAGTCCCATAAGACTGCCTCCATTTCAGACACCAATCACAAGTAGTAGGTTCCCAAATTACCCACATCTTCTGTCCAACTTGCCTACAAATCAGAGGTTCCCATGACCCCCTCCTTGGGGTTGGTAATTTGCTAAAGTGGCTTATGGAACTCAGGAAAAGTTTACTTATTATTGTAGATTTTTTACAAAGGATATTTTAATTGATAATAATAATTATAAATATTCATGGGGTGGATAATGATGTTTTAGTACATGTAATGTACAGTGATCAGATCAGATCATCATCTCATTTATCATTTCTTTGTGTTGGAAACATTCCATATCCTTCTTCTAGCGATTTGAAATGATATAAAGTATTATTGTTAATGACAGTCATCCCACAGTGGTATAGAACACTAGATCATAATTTTGCATCCTTTAACAAAGGATATTTTAAAGCATACAAAGGAACATCCAGATGAAGAGATACCAGATCTGGAAGGGTCCCAATCACAGGAGCTCTGTCCCCACAGAATTGGGGTACTTCACCTCCTGGCATGTGGATGTGTTTACCAACTGAGAAGTTCTCTGAACTCCATAGTTCCGGGATTTTTATGGAGGCTTCATCATGTAGGCATGACTGATTATTAACTCAATCTCCAGCCCCTTCCCCTTCAGGGAGTATGGGGGATGGGACTAAAAGTTCCAGACTTCTAATCATGACTTGGTCTTTCTGGTGACCAGCCCCTCCTGCAGGAGCCCACCAAGAGTACCTCATTAGAACAAAAGACACTCCTGTTATCTAGGAAATTCTAAGCGATTAGGCACTCTATGTCAGGAACCAGGGTCAAAGACAAAGCTCTGTGCAGAGCTCCTAAATATACGTCTGTATGTTTTATATATTTATTATTTGTGTATATTTATTATTTATATATTTATTTATTTATTGCCAGGCCAGTAGAAGACATTGACCTGTTCTCCCTTCCCTGGCTCCTCTAGGTGGCTTCGTGGCCCATGTGGAAAGCACCTGTCTGTTGGATGATGCTGGGACTCCAAAGGATTTCACATACTGCATCTCCTTCAACAAGGATCTGCTGACCTGCTGGGATCCAGAGGAGAATAAGATGGCCCCTTGCGAATTTGGGGTGCTGAATAGCTTGGCGAATGTCCTCTCACAGCACCTCAACCAAAAAGACACCCTGATGCAGCGCTTGCGCAATGGGCTTCAGAATTGTGCCACACACACCCAGCCCTTCTGGGGATCACTGACCAACAGGACACGTGAGGAGAGAGGGGTGCAGAGGGGCTACCAGGAAGTGCAGTTAGGAGGGCAGGCCAGGGAGGATCCCACAGTGGCCCAGGGGTTTGAGATTTGAGCAGCAAATAAGAGAAAATGTGTGGATCTGAAATGTAGAAAGACGGAGGATTGAACCTCAAGGGGAACAAGGTGGCTGACGTGAGTGGAACAGGAGTAAAGAAGGGGAGGTGAGGCTTGAACCGCGAGGTGCCATGTGGGGAGCTTATGCAGAGGCTGGGGCATCTCAGGATGCATACCCAAGATGTTCTTGCCTTGTTATCCCAGATTTTGATGTTCCAGATCTGATGTGGGCCCAGGCATGGGAATATTTGGAATCCCAGGGGATTCTGACACATGCTTTTTCTCACCCTTAAACTCTTGCATTGACAATGGCTTGAAGTTTGTGAAAGTAAACTTGAAGATCTCCACAGTACAGAACAGTGTGTCTCAAGGGTGGTTTCTGAACCACCTTTCTCAGAATTGCCTGGAGGAGGTGCTTGTTAAAGATGCAAGCCCCTTAGTACCACTCCAGATCTGTTGAAAGAAAGTATCTGGGGATACAGCCTAGGAAATCTGCATTTTAACATAATTCCTTGGATTTTTATTTAAGATTGTGTTTGAAAAATGTCAAGATAGAGGCAAGCAAGAGGATCACCTAGGAGAGTAAATTAGTAAAAGATGGCAGTATTAGCAATCTCTTTAGTTTGACTACATTCATTCCAAATTTAAGAGTGAGTCCTAAGTTAGGCTTGTTTCCTTGAACTATGTGAGGAGAAAAAGCTTTAACTAGCAAAAGAACGTATTAAACAAGATTTGGAGAAAAATTCCTTTTCCACCTTAAAAAAACCCAATGTACAACTCTGGATTACTCTTAGCTTCCTTATTTCAAATACTTTCCAGTTTATGTACTTGAAATAAATACAACAACTTCTAGAACAGCTTGCAGTTCAGATCTGGCTTTTACTAATTGTAATCAAACATAATTCTGGAGGAGGAAAGAAAGAAAGGGGCAATGAAGGAATGGGAGAGAAGAAAGAGTAATGCAGGAATACATTCTAACGGTTCCCCTTCAAGGGGCAGCATGGCAGAGGGGGCTGGGGTGGAAAGTGGGTTGCAAAATCTACGAAGAGTTGCGATAGGGAAGAAACCAGGTTGAGGAAGCAGCCAGAATGTCACCCTCCTTCCTAAACATGTTTTTTTCTCCTATGCAGGGCCACCATCTGTGCAAGTAGCCAAAACCACTCCTTTTAACACGAGGGAGCCTGTGATGCTGGCCTGCTATGTGTGGGGCTTCTATCCAGCAGAAGTGACTATCACGTGGAGGAAGAACGGGAAGCTTGTCATGCCTCACAGCAGTGCGCACAAGACTGCCCAGCCCAATGGAGACTGGACATACCAGACCCTCTCCCATTTAGCCTTAACCCCCTCTTACGGGGACACTTACACCTGTGTGGTAGAGCACATTGGGGCTCCTGAGCCCATCCTTCGGGACTGGAGTAAGTGTATGGCAGATGGATGGAATTAGGGTCAAAGCAGAGAAAATGAGATGTGGATCGATACATGGTACATGGTAGACAGCGAAGTGCTGAAAATGGGGACTGAGTCTGGAGGAACTTACGGGGGGCTTAGGACCAGAATGGGGAAATGGGATAAAGAAATGGAAATATTTAGGTTGGTGCAAAAGTAATTGCAGTTTTTGCCATTACTTTCAGTGGCAAAAACCGCAATTACTTTTGCACCAGTTTAATATTTAGTCTGTGCTATTGCTGCTCTGGTGGTGTGGTTGATGTTGCTGCGTCTATGTTTGAGGGTGAGAGGGGAGCGTGCTTGCTTTGAAATGAGGATGTAAATTTGGCAATCATATTTTCAGAACCCCAAATTGTAATACACTATTCTAGCCTCCTTAGATTTCAACTATTCTGGTGCCAGAAGCAGATGGGAGCTGAAGGAATGATGAAGGTTGAAGAAGGGGGGCTTTTCTTGGTGTGGGGCAGTACTGCATTTGGCCTGCTCTACCAAGCATACGGGAGTAGTAAAGCCACGGCTGGCAGACCATTTGGCATGCATGCTCAGGGGCCAGTGGATAAAGAATTACTTACAGTTCAAACACTGTTTGAACTCAGTGTCGGGAGTAGTTAAAGGTATCGTGAGAAGTTGCACACAGCTTTGGGGACTCTTGGAAAAGAAAGAGGAAGAAATGAGGAAGAGGAAGGGTGTCTACAAAGGGCCAGAGAACAGGATCTCAGATCAGCTGCTGTAACCAGGTTTCCCCTTGTGGGAAGTGTTGTTTCTTGCTGGGCAGTTGGGAAGGGAATGGAGAACAGAGAAGAGAGTGGAAATCACATGCTCACTTGAACTTTCCTGGGGAACGTCTCCTCACAGCGTGCACAAGAGCCTCCCTTTAGAAATGGAGTGTTCATTTTATCATGGGAAAAGAATCTGAGTGGGACATGATTCAGAACAGGACCGGCCCAAGGAAGTGCAGGGGCTGTGGAGTGGGATGGAGACAAGCTCTGAAAGGACACATGGGAGATCTAGATGTAGAAGGTACACAAGTAGTAGGATAACTCACAGGATGGATCCACTGGAGGTTAAGACATGTGGTAAGACAGTGTAATAGGAAGCTGCTCAGTTGGAGAAAGTAAGGAAGCAAACATTGTTACCGTGGGGGCAATGGAGAGGACAGTGAGGAGCCCTTTATCCTGATAAGGGTGGCTTTGAGGTAAAGGAAGGAAAGAGGATGCCTTGAGAGGCCCCACTGTATTAGAGAGGACCTGGAAGCCAGGATGCTAATTCTGGGGAGATGGATTCCCCAGGCTTACTCTAGGAGTAGAGGTCCATGGGACGAGGGTTTGATTTGAGAAAGATCATTTTCTTGGGAGTGGGTGGTGTGAGCTAGACCCTTGGAGCTGGGATAAAGGACCTTTTAACCCACTGAGAGGTGGCTGCAATAAATGGAATTGCCCTGGGGGTGAGCAACAGAAACTGGGTCAAGTAAGTTTCTATTTTTTGCAGCACCTGGGCTGTCCCCCATGCAGACCCTGAAGGTTTCTGTGTCTGCAGTGACTCTGGGCCTGGGCCTCATCATCTTCTCTCTTGGTGTGATCAGCTGGCGGAGAGCTGGCCACTCTAGTGAGTGACTCGCTGAACTCCCATCCCCACTCTTGGTCCCACTCTCTGCTTACTTTCTGTTTGTGATTAACTCTCTCCTTCCTACTGCATTTGCTATGAATACTGCTAGATATTTTCATCCACAAAGACTGGTATAATCAAGTATCTTCCTCTCTTAGGTTACACTCCTCTTCCTGGGTCCAATTATTCAGAAGGTAACATCTCTGTTGGTCTGTTTCCCTACTTGCCCTTTGGTAGGGGTGCGGGTTAGAGGGGTCAGTGTTGGGTTCAACTAATCTTGATTATTATATGGGTGAGCTTCCATGAGGATCTAGGCAAGGGCATGATTTAAGCTGCCATTGCTAGGATTAAGAGCAGGAAGGAGCATCCTCCTCTTCTACCAAGTGGGATGTCTGTGGAGAGGAGGCTGAAGGTGCTTCCTTTGTATTAGTTGTTGGTGCCCTGGAGTTTTCAGTATCACTGTATTAAGGCATGGGATGGTTACAGTGACAAACGATGGGGGCAAGTTGGGTTGAAGCCTCATTATCTCCCTTTTATTTATTCTGTAGGATGGCACATTTCCTAGAGGCAGAATCCTACAACTTCCACTCCAAGTGAGAAGGAGATTCAAACTCAATGATGCTACCATGCCTCTCCAACATCTTCAACCCCCTGACATTATCTTGGATCCTATGGTTTCTCCATCCAATTCTTTGAATTTCCCAGTCTCCCCTATGTAAAACTTAGCAACTTGGGGGACCTCATTCCTGGGACTATGCTGTAACCAAATTATTGTCCAAGGCTATATTTCTGGGATGAATATAATCTGAGGAAGGGAGTTAAAGACCCTCCTGGGGCTCTCAGTGTGCCATAGAGGACAGCAACTGGTGATTGTTTCAGAGAAATAAACTTTGGTGGAAATATTGTTTTTCCATGTCTTCTTCCTGGGGCCCTGGGGAAGGAATATGGGCAAAGCAGGGACTGAGGTTAATTCTCTTCTGCTTGAGTAGGGGAGAAATCAATGCCTTCTTCCATTTTCCCACTTAGACATGACAGAATTTGGGGCCGTTTTCTGATTTATAATTCATAAGGAGAAATTCAACTGTGGTGGGTTGGAGTCACAGAGTATGGGCAAGGAAGGGAATTAACAGCTTACTCACCTCATACAGGATCTTATGAGGATTAAATGAGTTCATACTTGTAAATGGCTAAGAACACCGCCAGGCACATAGCCAGCCTGCAATAGTGACGTTAGCTATATTCGATTATTCAACTTTCTGGCCAGGCATTGTACCAGGTGCTTTGATCCTCATCACAACCGTAAGGCAGACCCCTCATACCCCTCAGGATTCAGGGGACAGAGCTTAACTCCAGATTGAGTTCTAGACAGTTATTTCTTCCATACCCTGAATGCAGAAGGGAACATAGCTTGAGTGATTATTATGTCTTAGGCACTGGTCTCAGACCTTTATATTTGTAGCTCATTCTCTTCTCACAATAACCACACAAGGGACAGATTGTTTCCCTCTATGTTACAGACAAAAGATGTGAGGCTCAGAGACATTTAAGTGACTTGTCCAAGGTCAAAGAACAGATTTCTGTAGGATGTTTGTCTACCTGAGCTGGAAGTAGCAGATTACTTTATTCTGAAGACCCTCATGCTGGTGAGCACACATCTCTTCAGAGCCACCGTTCCATTCCCTTCTACCCCAAGACCAAGGAGAGCCCTTTGGGGGAATGGACTCCACCCTAAGGAAGAGAGGATGCTGGCTGGTGGTTTGTTGTCCCACGAAGGGCGACACCTGCTGGACACAGAAACCTAGGGTGTGGAATTGTTTTTGGAATTAGAGCTAGATACTAGAATATGGGTAAGAAAAAGAAACCAAGAAATGAGTTGATTTGGAACACCTCCATAATTTCTTCAGAAGCATCCTTGGAATTAGAGCATCTCTTCTGGAAGGGGTTAACAGAAGAAGTCAGTGGAAGGAACTTAATCTCTACATTTTACCATTTTTATGTTTCATTTTCATTTTTTTCTATTCACTGTTTTTGTTTTTATTTTTGTTTGTTTGACAAAGCAAATTCCTTTTGAAATTCTAGTTTAGTCTAGGAATGGGGGGCTTTGGGCCTTGTCTATATCTGGGCAGTTTTATTTATTATTTTTATTTTATTTATTTATTTTTTTTCGAGACAGAGTTTTGCTCTTGTTGCCCAGGCTGGAGTGCAATGGCGTGATCTCGGCTTATTGCAACTTCTGCCTCCCATGTTCAAGCGATTCTCCTGCCTCAGCCTCCCAAGTAGCTGAGATTACAGGCGTGCACCACCATGCCTGGCTAATTTTGTATTTTCTTAGTAGGGATGGGGTTTCACCATGTTGGTCAGGCTGGTCTCGATCTCCTGACCTCAAGTGATCCACCTGCCTCAGCCTCCCAAAGTGCTGGGATTACAGGCGTGAGCCACCGCACTAGGCCTATCTGGACAGTTTTAAAGGAGAAGCTGCAGATCTGAAGGGTCTAGTTCTAGTCACAGCAGTGGGAATCAAAGTGGCAGGATCCCAGAGAAAGGAAGTAGAGAGTTAGCTAATGGGACGGCTTCCAGTTCCTTTTCTAGAGATTTCCAGTGCAGGCTTTTCTCTGCCCTAACTTTGTAGGTTTTTTGTTTTATAGGAAAGGCTGTCCCCTTCCAGGTAAGGAATAGGGAAAAGTATATGTAGGTCTGCTAGGATCCAGAAAGTCAGAATACTATAGGTAGAAAGGGGAGTTCTTACACAGGGGAATGAGTGGTACTTGAAAGGAAGGTGGAAGAAGGGTGATGGTGCACCAATTGTAGGAGGATGAGGAGAAGAGAATGGATGCTGCATGAGGAGAATGGAATGTAAACATAATGGATTGCCAAAAAAGGAGTGCGTGTGTGTGTGTGTGTGTGTGTGCACTTGAGCACATGTGAGAGAAAGAGAGGAAAAAAAGAGAAGGAGTGGAAGAGAGTAAGAGAGAGGGAGCAAAAGGGTGAGAGGAGAGAAGTGGAGTGGGAGAAAGAAGGAGAGGGACATAGAGAGAGGGAGGGAGGGGAGCGGGGGAAGAGAGAGAGAGCTGGACTTTCGGGTTATACATAATCCAAGCTGCACAAAGAATTGTTTTCGCCCTTCAATGTCTTGTTGTTTTAAAAGCTGAACTTGGAGCTAGAATTGGTTTTAAAGGTCATCTAGTCCACCTCCCCTCCCATGAAAGAACTGGGCCTGTGTTAACAAGGGCACACACAGTGCAGGGAGTTCCTTCAACACTTGGGGCAGATAACAATATTTTAGAGAAACGCGTTGACCCCACATTTGAGCTTCTTCTTTTGACCATTAAAGACAATGAGAATAAATCTCAAATACACCACGGGAGGTGGTATCCTTGGCATTTTTTTTTTCCCTGAGGGAGAGCATGTTCCTAGGTTCCAGGTTCTCTTTGCCTCCCTACCCACGAACACATGCATGTGAAAGAAACAGACAAGATTGACATTTAATCCCAATGTCTATTTATGAAAATTATCTTTAGGCCATTTTCTCAAGTTTTTCTCTTTCCAAAGTAAAATTGGGCAAATCAGATGAAAAACGAGGGTGGAGTTCAACCCCATCCTCAAATCCTTTTTTTTTTTTGGCTTGAGTGTCTGTCATTCCCAAGAGCCCTCCAACTGCCTTGAAGCAAGGCATGGGGGATTTCTCCGTGGTGCTTCCTGCCACTACTTGGCCAGACCAGTCTCCAGGGGTTTCAGAGAGTGGAGAGGCCCCAAACCTATAGAGACTACTCCCAGATGGGGGGCTCCTTGTTTCTCCAGACCCTTCCTCTTCCATTTCATATGAGGCTTCCAAGAGGCCCCTGGCCGTGCTGGTCTGGGGCAGGGAATAAAGAAATGGCTTTTATTGTATCAGAGTCTCAACAGAAAACAGATGGCATACTCGAAATAGGACATTTCAAGGAAAGTTTATTTATTAGCAAAGTATTTACAAAGAACTGGGTGGAGGATAGCTGTTACTACCCCAAGGTCCAAAGAGGCCGGGGACAGAAGGGGTTATCAGGACTCAGAAGGACAGCAAGCCCTGTACAGTCACCACCTTGCCAAGGGCAGTGCCCTTCAGTCAAGGGACACAACAGCTTAAGGTGACCTTGTAGGGAGGAAGCCAAGGGATTAGAAACACTGACCTCACTCCCCTCTTCCCTCTGCTCTTAGGCTGATGCTGGAAGCAAGAAGAAGCCAGGGAGCATGGGAGCCATTCAATGTCATGCAGGTCAGCACCTGAGGCAGACCCCAGGTGCAGAAGTATTGAGAGTGGGTCCAGAAGGACAGATGGAGGACAGGAAGTACATTCACAACAAGAAGGAAAAACGTCAATGTTGTGGGGTGGAGAGAGAGGTGCAAAATCTGGGCTTCTTTTGGCCTTGGACAATGACAAGCGCATAGTAGCAACAGAAACTAAGTTTGTAGTTTCCTACTGGGGAGTTTGGGAGGACACTCACTTCTAGTTCTGTCTTCCCCACTTGAATTTTGATTGTGGTTATACTGAATTTATAGAAATTTGGGGTTAACTGACTTGTTTTTATTACTAAATCATACCATGCAAAAACAGGATGTTTTCTCATTTATTGAAATCATTTTGTTTGCTCTTTATTATGGTTTTTAAACTTTACTTTTTCATAGTAGTCCTGAGTATGCTCAGTTAATTCTTAGGCATGTTGTAGCTTTTGCTGCTATTGTGATTGGTATCTTATTGCAATTCTACTTTTGAATCAGTAATTTCTGATGTAGAAGAATGTATCTAATTTAAAAAATTGTGGTTAAAAAAATAACATTTACCGTCTTAACCACTTTGAAGTGTACAGCTCAGCAGTGTTAAGTATATTCACATTTTTGTGCAACCAATCTCCAGAACTCCTTTTCACCTTGCAAAACCAGAACTCTACACCCATTAAACAACAACTCCTCATTTCTCTCTTCCTCTAGCCCCTGGCTACTATCACTCTACATTCTGTTTCTATGAATCTGACTACTTCAGATACCCTGTACAAGTGCAATCATGGAGTTTTTGTCTTTTGGCGATTGGCTTATTTCACTTAGCTTAATGTCCTTAAAATTCATACTTGTTGCAGCATGTAAGAGTGCTTTCTTCCTTTTTAGGCTGAATAATAAGCTACTGTATGTATATGCCATATTTTGTTTGCCCATTCATCTGTCTATGGACATCTTTGTTGCTTCCACCTCTTGGCTATCGAGAATAGTGCTGCTATGAATATGGGGGAAAATATCTGCTTAAGTCCCTGCTTTCAATTCTTTTGCATTTATACCCAGAAGTGGACTCTTGGGTCATATAGTAGTTTTACTACTGATTTTTTGAGGAACTGCCGTACTGTTTCCCATAGCAGTTACACATTTTACAATCCCACGAACATTGCATATAAAGGTTCTAATGTCTCTACATCCTCACCAACACTTATTTCTTCCCTCCCTCTCTCCCTTCCTTCCTTCCTTCCTTCTTTCCTTTCCTCCTTCATTTGCTCCCTCCTTCATTCCCTCCCTTCTTTCCTTTTTCCTTTCATTTTTATAGTAGCCATGCTAATGAGAATTAGATGATGTTATGGTTTTAATTTGCACTTCTCTAATAATAAGTAATGCTGAGCATCTTTTCATATGTGTGTTTGCCACTTGTATATCATCTTTGGAAAAATGTCTGTTGAAGTTTGTTGCCCCCTTTTTAACTGTTTGTATAAACAATTATTGTTGGGTTTTATGAGTTCTTTACATATTCTGAATATTAACCCTTTATTGGATATATGATATTCAAATACTGATATATGATTTTCAAATATTAGAAATTAATAATTTTTGTAAGTTGATCTTATATGGGACAACCTTGCTCGATCCTCTTATTGGTTTTAGTGGGGTTTTTGTTGTTGTTGTTGTCATTGTTGTTATTGATATTCTCTCTGTCTCTCTCTTTTTCCAGGTAGATAATAGTATCATCTGCGAGCATTGTTTTGTGTTTTCCCTCTTAATCCTTAGTGTTTTATTTTTCATGTTGTTGACTAGGATCTTCAATGCTGTGTCAAACAGTAGGGTGATAATGAGCATTACTCTTAAAGGAAATAAACCTAAATATTCTCCATTAAGTATAAATTTTGCTGTATATTGTAGATTCACATGCAGTGGTAAGAAATAATAAAAACAATCCTGTGTATCCTTTACCCAGTTTCCCTTGATGGTAACATTTTGCAAAACTATGGTACAATATCACAATTAGGATACATGGATACAGCCACAATACAGAACACTTCTATGATCACAAGGATTCTTCACCTTGCCCTTTTCTAGACACACCCACTTCCCTACCATCCCATACCCTCCTTAATGTCTAGCAATCACTAATCTCTTATCCATTTCTATGACTTTGTCACTTCAAGACAAATTTTTTTTTGTCATTTTAAAACAAATGATTAATAAATGGAAACATATAGTATATACACTTTTGGGATTGACTTTTTTTTCTCTCAATGTATTTCTCTGGAGATCATACAAGGTTGTTGCATATATCAATAATTTATTATTGCCTAGTTGTATTATATGGTATGGGTATAGCACAGTTAGTTTAGCCATCTGTCCATCACATCTGGGTTGTTTCCAGATTTGGCTGATATGAATATAAGTTTTTGTGTGGACATAAGTCTTAATGTCTCTGGAGCAAATGCCCAGGAGTGTACCTGCTGAATTGTATGGTGGTTGCATTTTTAGTTTTTTAAATAAACTGTCAAAGTGTTTTCCAGAGTGGTTGCACCAGCAATGTGCGAGTGATTGTTTTACTGCATCCTCACAGGCATTTGGTATTGTCACTATTTTTTTTATTTTTTTTGAGATGGAGTCTTGCACTGTTGCCCAGGCTGGAGTGCAGTGGTGCGATCTTGGCTCACTGCAAGCTCCACCTCCCGGGTTCGCGCCATTCTCCTGCCTCAGCCTCCCAAGTAGCTGGGACTATAGGCGCCCGCCACCACGCCCGGCTAATTTTTTGTATTTTTAGTAGAGATGGGGTTTCACCATGTTAGCCAGGATGGTCTCAATCTCCTGTCCTCATGATCCGCCTGCCTCAGCCTCCCAAAGTTCTGGGATTACAGGCATGAGCCACTGCGCCTGGCTTATTGTCACTATTTTTTATTTCAGCCATTCTAATATGTGTGTAGTGAGATCTTATTGTGGTTTTAATTTGCGTTTCCTTAATGGCTAATGATATCGAACATCTTTTCATGTGCTTATTTGCCATCTGTATATCCTTTTAATGAAATGTCTCTTCATGAATTTTTCCCATTTTCTAATTAATTTTTTTCAAACTGTTGATTTTTTTTCTTTTTTTTTCTGAGATGGAGTCTTACTCTGTCACTCAGGCTAGAGTGCAGTGGCATGACCTCGGCTCACCCCAACCTCTACCTCCTGGGATTACAGGCGTGTGCCACAACGCCCAGCTAATTTTTAGTATTTTTAGTAGAGACAGAGTTTCACCATGTTGGCTAGGCTGGTCTCAAACTCCTGACCTCAAGTCATCCACTCGCCTCAGCCTCCCAAAGTGCTGGGATTACAGGCATGAGCCAGGGGGCCTGGCCTGAGTTTTGATAAGTTGTTATATATTCTAGATACTAGTCCTTTTTTGGATACATGATTTGCAAATATTTTCTTCCATTATGTAGCTTGCCTTTTCATTCCTTTACAAGTCTTTCACAGAGCAACAGTTTTTAGTTTTAATCAGGTCTAATATATCCATTTTTTCATTTTACAGATCATGTTTTTGGTGTCAAATCTAAGAACTTGTTGCCCAGATCTAGATTCAGAAGATTTTCCCCTATCTTATTCTAAAAGTTTTATAGTTTTACATTTTGCATAGAAGTTTGTAATCCATATTGAGTCAATTTTTGCAGAAGGTATGAGTCTTAGATTAAACTGCTGCTCCTCCTTCTCTTCCTCCTTGTTGTCTTTCTCTCCTCCTATGGCCCTTGAATGTTCAATTGTTCCAGCACCATTTATGTTTTTCCGATGTCTGCAGGGTGTGTAGGGATATTCCCTGTGGACATTTCTATATTCTTTCTTTCTTCTTTGTCAGTGTAGTCTGCTAGAGGTTCATCAGTTGACTGATCTTTTCAAAGAAGCAACTTTTTGTGTCTCACTCTGTGGCCCAGGCTGGAGTGCAGTGGTGCAATCTCACCTCACTACAACCTCCGCCTCCTGGGCTCAAGTGATTCTCCTGCCTCAACCTTCCAGGTAGCTGGGACTACAAGCGCCTGCCACCACATTTGGCTAATTTTTTGTAATTTTAGTAGAAGCAGAGATTCACCATGTTGGGCAGGCTGGTCTCTAACTCCTGAGCTCAAGTGATCCACCTGCCTTGGCCTCCCAAACTATTGGGATTACAGGCGTGAGCCACAGTGCTCGGCCTTCCTTTCTTCTTTGGATGTATTTTGATCTTCTTTTTCTGGGCTCTTGAGATGAGAGTTTGAATTATTAATTTGTGTACTTTTTTTTTTTTTTAAAGAGACAAGGTCTCCTTATGTTGCCCAGGCTGGCCTCGAACTACTGGGCTCAAGTGATCCTTTCCTGCCTCAGCCTCCCAAGTAGCACCCAGTTTTTCTTCTTTTTAATGTATGCATTTAATGCTATAAATTTCCCTTTCAGCACTGGTTTAGCTGTGTCCTATAATTTTTTTTATTATTTTGAAAATATTTCGTGGGTTCATGGTAGGTGTATATGTTTATGGGGTACATGAGATGTTTTGATACACGCCTGGAATGTGAAATAACCAAATCATGGAGAATGGGGTAGCCATTCCCTCAAGCATTTATCCTTTGAGTTACAAACAATTCAATTACATTCTTTAAGTAACTTAAAAATATACAATTAAGTTATTTTTGACTATAGTCACTCTATTGTGCTATCAAATAGTAGGTCATATTCATTCTTTCTACTTTTTTTGTACCCATTAACCATCCCCACCTCCCCGCTCAGCTATCCACTACTTTTCTCAGGCTCTGGTAACCATCCTTCTACTCACTATGTCCATTAGTTCAATTGTTTTGATTTTTAGATCCCACAAATAAATGAGAACATGTCATGTTTGTCTTTCTGTACCTGGCTTATTTCACTTAACATAATGATCTCCAGTTCCATCTATGTTGTTGCAAATAACT
The DNA here is from genome assembly GCF_000001405.40 of Homo sapiens. Taxonomy (NCBI): domain Eukaryota; kingdom Metazoa; phylum Chordata; class Mammalia; order Primates; family Hominidae; genus Homo; species Homo sapiens. Next base: position 4,345,724 of record NT_167246.2, on the reverse strand, counting down.
GGATATCATTCTTTTTTCTAGCTAAATAGTACTCCATTGTATGTATGTACCACATTTTCTTTATCCATTCATCTGTCGATAGACACTTAGGTTGCTCCGAAGTCTTAGCTATTGTAAACAATGCTGCAATTAACATAGGAGTGCAGATATCTCTTTGAAATACTAATTTTCTTTCTTTCGGGTATATTCCCAGCAGTGGGATTGCTGGATCATATGGTAGCTCAATTTTAATTTTTTTGGAGGAACTTCCAAGCTGTTCTCCATGGTGGTTGTACTAATTTATATTCCTGCCAACAGTGTACAAAGCCTTCTCCACATACTCACCAGTACTTGTTATTGCCTGTCTTTTGGATACAAGCCATTTTTTTTTGAGATGGAGTCTTACTCAGTTGCCCAGGCTGGAGTGCAGTGGCCCAATCTCTGCTCACTGCAACCTCCATCTCCCAGGTTCAAGCGATTCTTCTGCCTCAGCCTCCCAAGTAGTTGGGACTACAGGCATGGCCCACCATGCCCAGCTAATTTTTGTATTTTTAGTAGAGACAGGGTTTCACCATATTGGCCAGGCTGGTCTTGAACTCCTGACCTCAGGTGATCTGCCCGCCTCGGCCTCCCTCAGTGCTGGGATTACAGGTGTGAGCCACCGTGTCCAGCCTGCATACAAGCTATTTTAACTGAAGTGAGATAATATCTCATTGAACTTCTGATTTGCATTTCTCTGATGATTCATAATGTTGAGCACCTTTCATAAGCCTGATTGCCATTTGTATGTCTTCTTTTGAGAAATGTCTATTCAGATCAGCTCATTTTTTGTTTGGACTATTGAACTCTTTTTTCCTATAGAGTTGTCTGAACTCCTTATATATTCTAGTTATTAATCCTTTGTTAGAGGGGTAGTTTGCAAATATCTTCTCTCATTCTGTGGGTTGTCTCTCCTAGAAATTTTTGATATGTTGTATTCTTATTTTCTTTCAATTCAGTGTATTTTTAAATTTCCTTTGAGATTTATTTTTTGACTCGTAGAGTATTTAAAAGTTTTCGCTTAGTTTCTTGACTTTCCTCTGTCATCTTTCTGTTATTTATTTCTAGTTTGATTCCAATGTAGTCAGAGAACACATTCTGTATAATTTATATTCTTTTAAATTTATCAATATTTGTTTTATGGCCCTGGATATAGTCCAACTTGGTATATGTTGCATGGACACTTCAAAAGAATGTATATTCTGTGCGGCCAACAAGCATGTGAAAAAAATGCTCAGTATAACTAATCATTAGGGAAATGCAAATCAAAACAATGATGAGACACCATCTCACCCCAGTCAGAATGGCTATTGTTAAAAAGTCAAAAACAACAGGTGCTAACAAGGTTGTGGAGAAAAAGGAACACTTGTACACTATTGGGGGTAATGTAAATTAGTTCAGGCACTGTGGAAAGCAGTCTGGAGATTTCCCAAAGAACTTAAAGCAAAATTCCCATACAACCCAGCAATTCCATTGTTGGGTATATACCTAAAAGAATATAAATTGTTCTGTCATAAAGACACATGCACATGCATGTTCATCACACTGCTATTCACGTTAGCAAAGACATGGAATGAACCTAGATTTCTTTATCCAGTGCTCATCAACAGTGCACTGGATAAAGAAGATGTGGTACATATACACCATGAAATACTACACAGCTATAAAAAATGGGATCATGGCCTTTGCAGCAACATAGATGGAACTGGAGGCCATAATCCTAAACAAATTACCGCAGGAGCAAAAAACCAGCTAATTGCATACACATGGACACAAAGATGGGAAAAATAGACACTGGGGCCTATTTGAGGGTGGAGGGTGGGAGGACAGTGATGATTGAAAAAGCACCTATCGGGTATTATGCTGATGATTTTTCCTCTGCTGTCTTTCCGTTATTGATTTCTAATTTGATTCCATTGTAGTCAGAGAAAAGTTTGTATAATTTAAATTCTTTTAAAATTATCTGTACACCAAACCCTTGTGACACGCAATTTACCCATGTAACAAACCTGCATATGTACCCCTTGCACCTAGTAAAACCGGAAAAGAAAAACAACAAAAAAGAGCCAATGTGTATTCTGCTATTGATGGGTGGAGTGTCCTGTAAATGTGGATTTGATCCTGTTGGTTGATGGTGTTATTGAGCTCTTCTACATCTTTGCTGATTTTCTTTCTAGTTTTTATTTTTTTATTTTTATTTTTTTTGAGACAGAGTCTTGCTCTGTCCCCCAGGCTGCTGGAGTGCAGTGGCAGGATCTCAGCTCACTGAAAGCTCCGTCCCCAGGTTCACGCCATTCTCCTGCCTCAGCCTCCCGAGTATCTGGGACTACAGGCGCCCGCCACCACGCCCAGCTAATTTTTTGTATTTTTAGTAGAGTCGGGGTTTCACCGTGTTAGCCAGGATGGTCTCGATCTCCTGACCTCGTGATCCACCCCCTCGGCCTCCCAAAGTGCTGGGATTACAGGCCTGAGCCACCACTCCCTGCCTTCTTTCTAGTTTTATTAATAGTTGTGAGAGTTGTGTTGATGTCTCCAATTATAATTGTGGATTTTCTATTTTTTCTTTCAGTTCCGTCAGTTTTTGCTTCACATATTTTACAGCTCTGGTGTTTTGGGCATAAACATTTCTGACTGCAATGTCTTCTTGATAGACTGACCCTTCTATTATTATAAAACGTCCTTATCTTTCTCTGGTAATTTTTTTTGTTTTGGCTCTGAAGTTTACCTTATCTGAGAGTAGTACACTCACTCCTGTATTCCTCTAATTAAGGAAAACATGTTGTGTCTTTTTCCATCCTTTTACTTTTAACCTGCCTATGTTGTTATATTTGTGTGGTTTTATTGTTGTTTTTGTTTGTTTTGTGTTTTTTTTGAGACAAAGTCTCATCTTGTCACCTAGGCTGGAGTGCAGCGGCACAATCTCTGCTCACGGCAACCTCTGTCTTCCAGGGTCAAGCGATTCTCCTGCCTCAGCCTCCTGAGTAGCTGGGACCACAGGTGCACACCACCATGCCTGGCTAATTTTTGTATTTTAGTAGAGACGGGGTTTCACCATGTAGGCCAGGCTGGTCTCGAACTCCTGACCTACCTCAAATTATCCACCTGGCTTAGCCTCCCAAAGTGCTGAGAGCCACTGAGCCTGGCCTATATTGTTATATTTGAACTGGGTTTTTTTTTGTTTTTGTTTTTGTTTTTTGTTTGTTTGTTTTTTTTTGTAGAGTGCTGGGTTTACAGGTGTAAGCCACCATGCCTGGCCTGAACTGGGTTTCTTAATTGAGGTATTTAGATCATTTGCATTTAGTGTAATTTTTTTTCTTAATTTTTATGTTTAATTATTATGGGTACACAACCGTTGTATATATTAGTGAGGTACATGTGATGTTAGTTACAGGCATACAATGTGCAATGACCAAATCAGAGTAATTGGGGCATCTACCACCTCAAGAATTTATCATTTCTTTGTATTAGGAATAATGTAATTATTGATATATGTATTAGCTTGGGGTGCCATAACAAAATAAAACTAGGTGGCTTAAACAACAGAAATATATTCTCTCACAGTTCTGGAGGTTGGAAGTCTGAGATCAAGGCGCCAGCATGGTCAGCTTCTGGTAAGGGCTCTTCCTGGCTTATAGAGAGAGTTGCCATCTTCTGGGGGCAGAGTGAGAGAGAAAGAGAGAGGAAGGCTGGGAGGGAGAAAGAGCAAGAGAGCATACCCTGGTTTCTCTTCCTATTGAATTAATCCTATTGAATCATGGCCCTACCCTTATGAATTCATTTAACCTGAATTACTTCTGTAAAAGGCCCTATCTCCAAATATAGTCCCATTGGTGGTTAGGGCTTCAACATGGGATTCTGTGGGACACAATCCAACCTGTAGTAACATGAAGGGCTTAATTGTTTTTCATTTATTTTGTTTGTTCTCTCCAGTTTTCATCTCTGTTTACTCTTTTCTGACTTTCTGTGGCTTACTTGGGCATTTTTTAGAACGCCAGTTTTATTTATCTACAGTGTTTTTGAGTGTATTGATGCATAACTTTTAAGTGGTTGCTTTAAGTATTACATATACATGTAACTTGTCACAGTCTGCTGGAGTCATCATTTACCATTTTGAGTAAATAATAAAAATCTTACCTTCCTAATTTATGTCCCATCCCTTTATCCTCCTCACTGAAAATACGATTGTCTTAAATGTTTCCTCTACATACATTTAGAACCACATCAGTGTTATAATTTTGGCTTCAACCATCAAACATACTTTAGAAAACTTAAGAGGAGAAGAAAAATTTATTGTATTTACCCATCTATTTGCTTACCTTGTTCTATCTTCTTCCTTGATGTTCCAAGGTTCCTATTTTATCATTTCCATTCTGTTTAGATAACTTCTTTTAGCCATTTTCATTATTTCTGGGCAGGTGTTCTCCCCCCGCCCCCATCTCCATTGACATCTTAGAGAGGGGGCCCCATTACTGGCTTGCAGAAATGAAATTCTTAGCTTCCTAATTGGTCTTCTTGGATACCACTGCAGAGTGATGTTGGAGCACCTTGTTACAGCTTCAAGAGGGTGAAAGTTTAGGTCTCCCACTTGGTCTTTCTGGTGTGAATGGCAGTAGAGTCACAGTTATTGCTATGGTATTTGCCTAGAACTGAACAGTTACTTTCTAAGGCTTGACAGGCTTGCCTGCCTCTGTCTTGGTCTTTTGGCTAGTGATATCAGGGCTTTTGTTGTAAGTGTTGTTGGGGCTTTTTCTGTTTGTTTGTTTGTTTGTGCCAGTTGGTCTTTCCAAATTGTCACTTTCTTCAGCTCCAAGCCCAGCATATATGTGGCAAAAAGAAAGCCCAGGGAACTCACTAGTATGTCATTCCTCAGATCCTGAGATTCTAGCTGTTCTGCCTTCTCATTTCCACCTTTTAGAGTCTTCTTATGTTTGTTTTATATATATATAATGTCCAGAGTTTTTAGTTGTACTTAGTGAGATGAATAGGAAAAAGTATGTCTACTCAATTTTTCCAGAAGTCTTTGCTGTCAACCTTTACTAAATTAGTAGGTTTCCTTTTATTCCTGGTTTTCTAAAAGTTTATTTTTTAAACATAAATGGTTTTTTACATTTAAAAAATAGTTTATCAGAATTGACTCATTTCATTGTATTTTCCTTCTTAATCTCCTAATATAGTGAATTATATTGAGAGATTTTTAAAATGTGAAACATCTTTGCATTCCTGGGATAAACCCTATTTGTTCATCCTATAGTTACACATTTACTGTTGGTGTTATTTAGTTAATATTTTACTTGGGTTGTTGTATTTACTTTTATAAAGCATGGACGTAAAACTTGCCTTTCTTGTATTTCCTTGTTTGTTTTTGTAATAAAAATTTCTCTAAACAATAACCTAGGCAGATTTTGTTCTTCATTCTGTTTCCTGGAATAATAAATAGAAATGTCTTTTCAAAGGGCAGCTTTTGTTTTTGTTCATCTATTTTATTGTTTTTAGTTCTCTATTTCATTTATGACTATCTTTACTATTTCCTTCCTCCTTTGGGTGTATTCTCTTCCTCTTTACCTAGCGTTTGAGTTGAACACTCAGCTTATTGATTTTGGTCTTTTTTTGTGTTTCCTAGTAAGTGTATTTAAAGGTAAAAAATTTCCTTCTAAGTTCTGCTTTAATCATATCTAACACATTTTGATATGCAGTGTTTTAATTTTTATTTAATTCTACATATTCTTTATATTTTTCTTTTAACTCACAGGTTACTTGTGACATTTAAAAACTTTTTATTTTGAAGTAATTTTAGAAGAGTAGTACAAAGAATTCTTACGTACACTTGTCCAAATTCAATGATTTGCAACATTTTGTCATATTTGCTTTCTTTTTCTCTCTGTCTCTGCTTCCCTCTCTGTTTTTTTCCTAAAAAACATTAATATTCCTAAGTCCATTTTAGGGACTTACTCTAAAATGGTTATGAAAAAACATTAGAGAGAAAAAATGGTTTACTCTAAAATGGTTAGGAAGTCTGGAGTTACATACACACATGCCCCTTTCCTGCTAAATATTTCAATGTATTTCCTAAGAACAAGGCTGTTCTCTTACATAAACACAGAAAAACAGTCATATTAAGAAAATTTAACTTGGATATAATATTAGCTAATCCACAGTACATATTCAAATTTTACCAGTTTTCCCAATAAAGAACCTTATAACTCCAGCCACTCCCAGTCTCTTGTCCTGCAATCCAGAATCAAGCATTTCAGTAAGTTTTCATGTCTCTTTGGTCATTTTTAATGTGAGAGAGTCTATCAGTTTCTTATTTATTCAGGTTTTATTAATTAGCTTGAACTTATATAATTTTATTATTTTGCCCTTCAAGAACTCTGCTTTTTTTTTTTTTTTCTTTTTGGTCTAGTTTATCTACCAGTTTTTGAGAGAGGGTTTGTAAAAATCATCAAATGTATTTTTAAAAAACTCAACTTCTAACTGTAGTTCTTTCACTTGTTGCTTTATAAATTGTGAGGCTGTATTGTTGAGTTTATATATATTTATGATTACTATATCTTCTTGTTTCTTTAAAAGTTATATGAACATCTTTTCTTTTGTCCTTTATGCACTTTATTTTTTTTATTTTTATTTTTTTTTGAGATGGAGTTTCGTTCTTATTGCCCAGGCTGGAGTGCAGTGGCACAGTCTTGGCTCACTGCAACCTCCATCTCCCAGGTTCAAGCGATTCTTCTGCCTCAGCCTCCCGAGTAGCTGGGATTACAGGTGCGTGCCACCATGACCGGCTAATCTTTTTGTATTTTTAGTAGAGATGGCGTTTCACCATGTTAGCCAGGCTGATCTCGAACTCCTGACCTCAGGTAATCCGTCCTCCTCAGCCTCCCGAAATGCTGGGATTACAGGCATGAACCACTGCACCTGGCCCAAAATAGAATTTAAGGTTAAAAATAAAGTGCAGGCTGGACGTCGTGGCTCACGCTTGTAATCTTAGCACTTTGGGAGGCTGAGGCAGGTGGATCACCTGAGGTCAGGAGTTCAAGACCAGCCTAACCAACATGATGAAACCCCAACTCTACTAAAAATACAAAAGTAGCCGAGCATGGTGGCACATGCCTGTAATCCCAGCTACTCGGGAGGCTGAGTAGGGAGAATCGGTTGAATCCAGGAGGCAGAGGCTGCAGTGTACCGGGATCGCACCATTGCACTCCAGCCTGGGCAACAAGAGTGAAACTCTGTCTCAAAAATAAATAAATAAATAAATAAATAAATAAATAAATAAATAAATAAATAAAGTGCATAGGCCGGGCACGGTAGCTCATGCCTGTAATCCTAGCACTTTGGGAGGCTGAGGCGGGTATATCACCTGAGGTCAGAAGTTCAAGACCAGCCTGGCTAGCATGGTGAAACCCTGTTTCTACTAAAAATACAAAAAATTAGCTGGGCATGGTGGCACACCTGTAATCCCAGCTACTCGGGAGGCTGAGACAGGCGAATCACTTGAACCCAGGAGGCAGAGGTTGCAGTGAGCCGAGATTGTGCCATTGCACTCCAGCCTGGGAGACAGAGGAAGACTCTGTCCCCCTCCCAAAAAAAAATCAATTCTATTTTGTTACATATTGAGACTGTTGCCCAACTTTCTTTTGTGTCATATTTGCCACCAGGTAAATCTTTTTTCCCTGTTTTTAAATTTCAATCTTTACATATCTTTCTGCTTTAAGAGGATTTGCCATATGCATTCATATTAAAAACTTTCAATAAACTAGGTATTGAAGGAATATACCTCAAAAATAATAAGAGCCATATATGACAAACCCACAGCCAACATCTTGCTGAATGAGCAAAAGGTGGAAGCATTCCCCTTAAAAACCAGCACAAGACAAGGATGCCCTCTCTCACCACTCCTACTCAACATAGCGTTGGAAGTCCTGGCTGGGGCAATTGGGCAAAAGAAACAAATAAAGACGTCCAAATAGGAAGAGAGAAAGATAAACTATCCCTGTTTGTAGATGACATGATCCTATATCTAGAAAACCCCATTGTCTCAGCCCAAAAGCTTCTTAAGCTGATAAACAACTTCAGCAAAATATCAGAATACAAAATGAATGTGCAAAAATTACTAGTATTCCTATACACCAAACAACAGTCAAGCTGAGAGCCAAATCAGGAATGAACTCCCGTTCACAATTGTCACAAAAAAAATAAAATACCTAGGAATATAGCTAACTGGGGAGGTGAAAGATATCTACAAGGAGAACTACAAACCACCGTTCAAAGAAATCAGAGATGACACAAACAAATGGAAAAACATCTCATGCTCATGGATAAGAGGAATCAATATCATTAAAATGGCCATACTGCCCAAAACAATTTATAGATTCAATACTCTTCTTATTAAACTACCATTGAGATACTTCACAGAGCTAGAAAAACTATTATTATTATTATTATTTTTTTGAGACGGAGTTTTTGCTCTTGTTGCCCAGGCTAGTGTGCAATGGTGCGATCTCGGCTTACCACAACCTCTGTCTCCCAGGTTCAAGCGATTCTCCTGCCTCAGTCTCCCGAGTAGCTGGGATATTACAGGCATGCGCCACCATGCCCAGCTAATTTTGTATTTTTAGTAGAGACATGGTTTCGCCATGTTGGCCAGGCTGGTCTCAAACTCCTGGCCTCAAGTGATTCCCCCTGCCTCGGCCTCCCAAAGTGGTGGGATTACAGGCCTGAGGCACCGTGCCCGGCCAGAGCTAGAAAAACTATTTAAAAATGCATGTGAAACAAAAAAGGGCCAGAATAGCCAAGGCAATCTGAAGCAAAAAGAACAACGTTAGCAGTATCACACTACCCAACTTCAAACTATACAGGGCTATAGTAACCAAAACAACATGGCACTGGTACAAGAACAGACACATAGACCAATGGAACAGAATAAAGAACACAGAAATAAAACTACACCTATGACTGTCTGATCTTCAACAAATCTGACAAAAACAAGCAATGGGGAAAGTATTTTCTATTCAATAAATGGTGCTGGGAAAACTGGGTAGCCATATGCAGAAGATTGAAACTGCATCCCTTCCTTACACCATCCACCTTAACTCAAGATGGATTAAAGACTTAAATATAAAACTCAAAATTATAAAAATCCTGGAAGACAACCTAGGCAATACCATTCAGGATATACTGGCAAAGATTTCATGACAAAGATGCCAAAAACAATTGCAACAAAAGCAAAACTGACCAACAGGATCTAGTTAAACTAAAGAGCTTCTGCACTAAAAAGGAAACTATCAACAGAGTGGACAGACAACCTACAGAATGGGAGAAAATTTTGCAAACTATGCATCCAACAAAGGTATAATATCCAGCATCTATAAGGACCTTAAATAAATTTACAAGAAAAAAAAACCATTAAAAAGTGGGCAAAGGACATGAACACTTTTCAGAAGAAGACATACATGCAGCCAACACGTATATGAAAAAAAGCTCAACATCACTGATCATTAGAGAAATGAAAGTCAAAACCACAATGAGATACCATCTCACATCAGTCAGAATGGCTACTATTACAAAGTCAAAAAATAACAGATGCTGGCTAGGTTATGGAGAAAAATGAACGTTTTTACACCGTTGGTGGGAGTGTAAATTAGTTCAACCATTGTGGAAGACAGTGTGGCAATTCCTCAAAGACCCAAAGACAGAAATACCATTTGACCCAGCAATCCCATTACTGGGAACATACACAAAGGAATATAAATCATTCTATTATAAAGACACATGAACACATATGTTCACTGTAGCACTATTCACAATATCAAAGACTTGGAATCAACCTAAATGCCCACTAATGATAGACTGGATAAAGAAAACGTGATACACATACACCATGGAATACTATGCAGATATAAATAAGAATGAGATCATGTCCTCTGCAGGGACATGGATGGAGCTGGAGGCCATTATCCTTGGCAAAATAATGTAGGAAGAGAAAATCAAATGCCAGATGTTTTGACTTATAAGTGGGAGGTAAATTGTGAAAACACATGGACACACAGAGGGGAACTGCACACATGGGCCTATTGGAGGGTGGAGGTGGGAGGAGGGAGAGGATCAGGAAAAATAACTAATGTATACTAGGCTTAATACCTGGGTAATGAAATAATCTGTACAACAAACCTCCCTGACACAAGTTTACCTATGAAACAAACCTGCACATTTACCCCTGAACTTAAAAGTTAAAAAAGAGTATTTGTTATAAATCACACATGATTTGGTTCCCTTTTTCCTCCATTATTAGAGCCTTTGTTCTTTTATTGGTAACTGCTGAAGTAAAGATTTACTTTTGCAACTCATTTCACATTCTGTTTTTATTGTACAATGTTTCTTCCCTTTTCTTGCTTTCCATTTGATAGACTGATTTTTTTCTGCTGTATTAAAAGTTATACATACTGATTCTGTTCTTATGGTGGTTGCCTTTAATTTAACACAGTGAGCATTTACCTTTTAAAATGTCTTAACTACCTTAATATTTATATCTTGCCTCCTAAGTTCTTTAGCATACTCTTATGTTCTTTTGATTTTCTACTTCCCTCCCTCTAATGCCAATTCTCCTACCAAGTAGATATTACACACACACACATTCATTTACCCTCTTTTAAAAATATGGTCCTGGATTTGTTGACAAATCACCCTTATATTTGTTGTAAATTTCTTGATTTGATTCTCTTTTTGTGTACTTCCTCTAAGAGTGTTTTTTTTTTTTTTTTTTTACCACGTCCAAGAGTGTTTTAAATATGAGCCTTTGGATTCTTTGCATGATAATAAATTTGTTATGCCATCTCACTTGAATAGCAATTTTGATACATATAAAGTTCTAAACTCCAGTTTATTTTCCTTCACTACTATAAAAATATTATTTTATTTTATTCTTGCATTCATTGCTGTTGAAAAGTCTGACATCAATCTGATCTTACTCCTTTGTAAACTGTTCTTTTTTTTTTTTTTTTTTCTGATAGGGTATCACTCTGTCACCCACTGGAACCTCCACCTCCCGGGTTTGCCTCAGCCTCCCGAGTAGCTGGGACTACAGGCACACGCCACCAGGCGGGGCTAATTTTTGTATTTTTAGTAGACACAGGGTTTCACCATATTGGCCAGGCTGGTCTCGAACTCCTGTCCGCAAGTGATCCACCCGCCTCTACCTCCCAAAGTCCCAAAGTGCTGGGATTATAGGCGTGAGCCACTGTGCCCAGTTGATAAACTCTTCTTTCTAAGTTTTAAAAATATTTATTTGTCTCAATATAACGAGCATAGGTGTGGATTTTTCTGAAGCTCCTGTTAAGTATCCTTTGAACCCTTTTCTCTGAGGTCTTTCATAATTAAAAAAAAATTGTAAATTTATTAGTCATTATTTTCTCACGTATATATTTTTTTCCTCTCACTGTGAGTTCTCTTATGATTCAGATGTTGATACTTCTATTTCTAGCATACATTTTGCTGAACTTTCTTTTATATTTTTGATGTCTTTATTCTTTCCTACTGTCTTCTGGGATTATCTTTCATCTTATCTTTTACCTCACAAATTATTCTTCAGCTATATTTATCCTGGTACTTGTCTAATCTATAGTATTTACAACTTCTACTGTTATAGTTTTAACATCTAATATTCTGTCTTTGTTTTTGTGAGTTACTGGTTTTGCTTTATGTTGCTGGTATCTTCTATTATCTTAAGTATATTTGCCATTTTGTTTCAAGTTCTTGGTTCATCTTCTTCACAATTCTGCATTAGATAGTATATGGTGTTAATTTGTTGTCTATGTTTTGCAATTTTTTTGTTCCTTAGCCATATCATTATGTTGATCTGTGAGCTCACGTCTCCAGGAGGGCACCAGCTAGTCTGTGGGGTAATGTGTAATGGGGAAGAGATAAAGTCAAATACTGGTCTGTGTCCCTCCAGATCCAGCCCTGGTAGAGAGCCCAGAAACACTGTGGATCTCCCCATTTGCCACTACTCTTTCAGGCAACTCCTAGGAAAAGCACAGTTGGGAGTAGGCAGGTGCTCCACGTTGGGATTCACCAGCGCTGGGAGTTGGGGCAGTGGTCGTGAGTAGTGGAGAAGAGAATACCCAAAAGCTCACCCCTAGTTTCATCTGTTCCCTACTGATTTACCTTGAAGATACAAGTAGCCTGGCCTGTTGCAGCCTGTTTATGTATGAAGGGGAGGCAACAATTGTCCCAAGCCGATTGGGAAGGACATAGTGCAGAAATTAAAAAGTCTTCCTGCAGCCTGTTCTCCCACTGTGGCTTATCTCCCAGGATGCAGCCCTGCCCATTCTCTACGCACACCAGCTCAAGACAGCAGTTCTGTCTCTCCTGGCAAATATAAAAACACTTTATACTTATTTCTGGTGTTGCCAGCTCCCCAGATCCTTGCTTCCTTTTGCTTCTCTACCTTTACAAAAATTAATTTTGGGTGAGGGAGCTGGAAGCCTGAACCTACCTATTTGCCATTTCACAGGAACTGGAAGCTTTATTTCTGGTCCTCAAAGGGCAAAGTGACAAGCGACATTCAATAGCTCATGGCCTGAGGCTTCCTGATGCCCAGGGTCTTACACTCGTAGCCAGGACTGATGTGTTGTCATAGCCATTCCAAGGGTCTCTTTTCAAGGTGTCCAATGGGGTGGCAAGCAGGGATTCTGATTCATCTATGCTCCAGGGACAGGAGAGAAAGGAACTTGGAGATTCATGAGGTAGGCATGAAGCTTGGATAGTGGGAGGGGAGGAAGATAGATGTGTGTTGAGCATTTATTGTGCACTCTATTGAGCCCTTGCTGGGTACACCTTGAGGGCTAATTTACTTCACAGAATCCAGGAGGAATGCCTTCAGGGGTACTTTCAGGAAAGTATCCATAGATTTTTAGGAGGCTGTGTGGTGAAGCTATGTTCATACTACTAGATAATATTTACCTTATAGGCTTCATGATGTATAAATCTGCCTTTCCTCTAATTTATAATAGAAGCATCCATATGATTTATGAATTCTTTCAGATTAGCTCTTTTAGGCCATCCTAGCTAAATACTGAGGGTGTTTAGTATCCTCAGGGTGCTTTGCTGCAGCTGTCCCCAGCTGGTCTCGTTTTTTCCTGTTTTCTAATTGGTCTCTACCCCCATTCCTCCCTCAGTCTGTCTTGACAGATGGCAGATGCATCTTCCTATGTGGCAGTGCTTGGCACTAGGTTTGCAGCAAATGCTTGTTGGATTGATTTTCTTTAGATTTGAAGGTTAAAAAGAGAGTTTTTCTCTTTATAGGCACCCATCCCAATTTCTTCTCCTTGCAATGCTCAGTAGTTGCTACCAGGAAGGGCTGTCACCAGGTTGTGTCCTAACTGGAATGAGCTCTTGAGTGGGAGTAAGCAATGTTTGTTGGTAGGTCAAAGGGTTAACAACAGTTTTAAGCTCTTTTTTCCCATGGGAAGATGAACTCCAGTTTACCTTATACTTACTGTTTCTTTGAAATGTACTGTTTGGATAAATGTGAAATGTCAGCTGTATTTTAAAAAATCACATTTATTTATTTATTTATTTATTTATAAGTGTGGAAATGACCCCTGGTTGGTGAACTACATCTATGCTGGGCAGACTGCGGGCAGGCATTTAGACTTGGTGGACCTATATGACCAGACCCGTATGAAAACCTGTTGGGAAATGTAGGCCCTGGACTCTGTTATGGTGTGTTTCTTGAATCCGAATATGCCTGTTTTCTTGGAATCCTCACTCATGGGTTGGTATAAGATGTGGTTCCTGTCATGTGAGAGATTCTTCCATCCTAGAATGGCTCCCCCGTGCCTCTCCCCTACTCCTGTGGTCTTGTCTACTATGACCATGCATATTCCCATGAGATGAGAGGGTTAAGAATCAGCATCTAGAATACATAAAGACTCCTGATGAAGATGTCTAATGCTGTCAGGCTGACAAGCTATGTTTCCATATCCAATATTCCTCTACAAAGCTAAATAAATAAGTTGCCGTATAACAGCCCACCAAGTCTTTTGAGTGTGTATGTTAATCTGAACCCAAGGCACAACTAATTTGTATGAAGTAAGCATTGTAGGATTTTTTTTCCTACAAAAATAACTTTCTCTTCATTGCTGAAATTCTGTTGTAAATAAACAAGTGGTAAGCAGAGGATCATAAAATGTTCCTTGCTCAAAGCCTTAAAATTCCCAAAACTCCAGCATTCAAATTTCTCTGGACAGAATTGGAACCAAAATGAAGTCACAGTTAATAATAAAACATTACATTTGTGTAATGCTTTGAATATTCTAAAGATTTTATTCTACTTTTCCTGTCTTCTCTTCTCTGACTGACTCAATATGGCTTCTCTTGTACCTGCAAAAAGATGACTTCAAAATCCATTTCTCCAATTTTGAACCCACTACAGTACTTGATATCCATGTATGCCACTATTTAGAAGCAAAGGAAATAAAATCATTGAAATGACACTTTGAAATAGACTTGGTAGGACCTGAAAACTCACTGAATCCAATCTTCTCACTCAGACAGTTGAGTGGACAGTGGTTTAATCCACTGAAAGAGGAAATACAAGGGAAGGACATGTTTGAGAGGTGTTTAGAGAATGATTGATAAAAGGTCTTAGAAGAGGTGAGTGTCCACTATTTTTGCACTGGAGTATCTACCCCTGCTCCAAGGTCCCTCATGTTCACATCTGTTGGGGATGATGGGAGGGCCAGAAGACAGCCCACCTCATGGAAATAAGAGTAGCCAGGCTACATGGAGTAGGTCGGGAAGCAAGGAGGCTCAGGACCAAGGAAAGGTTTATCGAATAAATATTATGAAATGCTCAGCTGGTATATGAAGAGCAGTGAGGGTTGGGGGTATCAGGATCACAATCCATATTCAGTTCCAAGATGTCTGGACCATTTCACAGTTGGGATATGGTCTTCCTCTAAGGAAGAACATGGGCTGTTTTTTTCATACTTCTGATCACAGTTGGCAAGAAGGAATGGTTGGAGTAATAGACTAGTAGTTGGGTTCTTAGATTTGTTTCTTTAATCAAATTCTCATGGCTAATGGCAAGATAGAATATGCTTATACAGGACATTTATCTGAAAGTTGTGTTACAGACAACATCCATTAGAATCATCCAGGGTACTTCATGAAAATGCAGATTTCTGAATAACCTCTAGAACTGCTGAATTAGGATCCCTGGGCTGGAGCCTGAGAATTTGCATTTAAGCCTACTTCTTAGCAATTCTTATGTACACTAAAATTTAAGAAGCATATGTAAGCTGGTTAATTATGAATTATTCTTATCAATGAAAAATTATACCAAATGAGAATTAAATGGGACAACTGGATATTTCATTGCTTTGAAGAAGCTGGTGACAACTTCATCTAAGACTTCCCAGTTGCTCTTTCAGTATTACTTCTAAATTTACTATTGCAGTTTATTTTTCATTAAATCTTCCTTCTACTGGTACAAAGAAAAATATCTTTGTCTTCCCTTTTAATTTTATTTATTTATTTTGTTTGAGACAGAGCCTCACTCTGTTTCCCAGGCTGGAGTGCAGTGGTGTGATCTCGGCTCACTGCAACCTCCACCTCCTGGGTTCAAGCGATTCTCCTGCCTCAGCCTCTCGAGTAGCTGGGACTACAGGCGCCTGCCACTATGCCTGGCTAATTTTTGTATTTTTAGTAGAGACGGGGTTTCACCATATTGGCCAGGCTGGTCCCAAACTCCTGACCTTGTGATCTGCCAGCCTCGGTCTCCCAAAGTGCTGGGATTACAGGCGTGAGCCACTGCGCCCGGCCAATTTTATTTTTTAATTAAACATTTCTGAGACATTTTGGCTTTAATGAAAATGTTTCCAAAGCATGTTCAAAGCGTAGTCCTTAGTTTGATGGTCTGAAGAATGGAATCATTTATTAGTGGAGTTCAATAAATATTTATTCGCATTTATACATACAAGGTCCTTTGGACAGAGTAAGAGACACAAGACACCACCACTCCCTGAAAGAGCACACAAAACAATTACATAGATAAGACCAACACACACATTTGAACTGTGGTATTGAAACTTAAAAAAAAAAAAAGCCTAAAGCCCTCTCAGTAAAAAAGAGTTGAGTACTTATCGACACTTACATGTTTATTTATACATTATCCCATGTACTAGCATATGGCTTGACTATATACACCAGAACTCACACTGTAACAAATAGAAAGTTTATAAGTTACCAAAATAAATAGAAACTTTAACACTTCCTTCCTGTATCCTCAAGGATCATTTGCACATTCCCTGTAGTGTGCACATTCCATTTTGTAAACCAGTGTTTTTAGAAAACAATGCCTACCTATATATAACCAAGCACTAAGTTCTGTGTTACAGATTAAAAAAACCATTTTAGAGTAAAGAGAAATAAGAGCAAACCCAGACTACTAGAACTGGTAAATGAAAGGAATAGCATTCAGAAAACAATGTATATTCAATAAATAGATAAAATAATAGGAAACATTTGCTTTGGGTTCATGTCAAAGCCTATTAAGAAGGAGACATAGACATAGGACAAAATGCATATGTAGAGGAAAAAGAAACAAAATATAGAAATGTAAACATTACTTCCTTCTGGCAAAATGTCTTCTAGCCTTTGGTGAGGTATTTCCAGACATTTATAGGCTACACTCTGCCAATGATTTTATTTAAGGATGACACAGTGAATGCTTATTTTTATGTCTACAAAAAAAGTTACAAAATTTAGTTATTCACACATTCATTCATCAGTGCCTCTTGATATTGGAAATGTTTCTCCCTATTGCTTTATGGATTGACTGTATTCCTGAAAAGCTTGAATTACATTTTAAAAACTCAGCCATAAGCTTTGTGGGAGACAGACTGTACCTGTCAAGTTCCCTCTTGTATCTCTGGCACCTCGCATAGCATCAGGCTTATAGTGAATATTCAAGAATGTCCTCTCGATGGTTGCAATATATTTGAAAATCTCAGCATTGAAAGGAATTCTGTGACAAACCACTTAAAAAAGTTAAAATGAATGAACATTCAGTAAATTCTGATTTTGATGAAACACAGTTGTTCATAAGTGGACAAAACTATCCTTTAAGTAAACCCATGGGGACATTTGAGTTGAATAATTTATAGAGACTTATAATCTGAAAGAGAGCGCAGACATAGTCTCATATTCTTTTACCACACAGATAAGGAAAAGCTGGAGCTCACAGAAACTTGAAAGAGCTTGCCCAAGGCCACATCACTATTTAGGAGCAGTTATTTTAATATGTAACAAATTACGTGTGATTAATCTTTTTCAGAAGGGGTTACTGCAGGTTTTCTTAAAGTAACAGTATTAGATAATATTTTATAAAACTTAAAAACTCTATAACATAATGCTTCATAATGTTTAAGAATTCATAAACATTTAGTAAAAATATTAAAAACATGCATAGCAATGATAAAACTGACTTCACATTGGTGGTTATATCTGGGGGCAGTGAA
Source organism: Homo sapiens (assembly GCF_000001405.40). Classification (NCBI taxonomy): domain Eukaryota; kingdom Metazoa; phylum Chordata; class Mammalia; order Primates; family Hominidae; genus Homo; species Homo sapiens. The sequence goes on along the minus strand of NT_167246.2, from coordinate 4,328,187 downwards.
AAGAAAATGGAAGGATTCAGAGGTATCAATTTTATTGTAGTCACTGATTTATTAAAAAAACCATTGAAACAAATAGGACAAAATACTAAGATTTAATAAAGCTGGGTGTTTGGGTAATGGGGGTTTATTTGCCTTTCTGTGTGTTTAAAATACTTAACAATACAAATATTAAAACTAAAATTAGTAAGAGATTTGTAAACTAATAGGTTTTTTAAAATACCAAGCAGAGGAACAAAGTCAACTGTTATTTATCCAAAGAACCATTAACAGAAATAGGCTATATATATATATATATATATATATATATATATGCTAAAGGGTTTAGTCAACAAAGTAGATATTCTATAATTAGCAGCATGAAGGAGTTAGAGTACATCTTATGTTGTTATAATTAATAGTAAATATTTGTAACATACAGAAAATACATGGAACAACAGTCATGCAACCACTACTCAAATACAGTTGTGCTGTTTGCACCTGACTTCAGGTCCACCTTTCTTTTCCCTCACCAGATGCAATTACTAGTTTAAAGTTAGTGCATATCATTTGTTATTATGTTGTGAGAATTGTCCTTGTGAAATATGGACATTTAGTTTATTTTAATGGTTGCACAATTTATTGTAGAAAGGCAACACAATTTTATTTACTTTTTTATGCACTGATGGGCATCCCCTGACTTTCCACCAATTATAAGCAAACCTGCAATGAACATCCTTATGCATACTTCTTTGTTTTTGTATTTGAGAATGTCTTCAGGTCTCTAGGGCATATAAACATAGAATTGCTTGTCTGTAGGATTCTTGTCTCTTTAAATTTGTACAACACTGCATATGTGAAATAAGTAGTTGAAATAAGTGGGAAAACTAACCCTTCCACCAAGATTCTATGCAAATTCCCATTTCTTCACATTTCTGCTTCAGCACGTGGTATTGTTAGGCTATCTACCTTGAGATAATAAAGTTATTCTACATTTCCCCCCCAAAGCTTTAAACCTTTACCTTTTCACATTTAGCCTTTTATTTCATTTAAAATTTATTTTTGTAATGGTGTGAGGTAGAGATCTGGTTTCATTTATTCCCCATGGTGATAGCCTATGTTCCTGCAATATTAACTGACTTATCCAACAGTTCTCAAAATGTGATCAGAGGATTCCTGGGGATGTTGGGAGGGAGAGATCCCTTGGATCCTTTTAGAGGGTCAACAAGGTCAAAAATATTCATAAAATTAAGATGTTATTTGCCTTTTTTTTACTCTCACTCTCATAAGTGTACAGAAGGGTTCGCCAAAGACAACAATGGCATGTGATGAATAGTGATGACTATTTCTCTGATACCTAACAGATTGTGTGCCTGTGTATTGTATTTTCTAGAGTTTTCAAAGGTAGTGAGTTTACGGTATAAGTATGTAGTTTTCAGAAATTATTTCTTTTCTACCATGCTCTTACCAGCTATCTTCAGTTATACCTGTTATAATCTCTGTAATCTCATTATCTTCCAAGAAATCATTTTTAAATCCTAAAGTTTTTCCTTTTACACAGAAACATAACAAAAATTATGTTTACTTTGTTGTTTTGCAATAATATATTTTTCAAAAATGTTTTTAATTAAAAAATTTTATCTGAATAGGGTGGATGGTTGGCTTTAAAAAGGGAGAAGAGAAAACACATTTTCTGGTGTCTAGATTGCCTATGTCTAGAGATGCTGAAAAGGATGACATTGACATATCAGCAAGTTATCTGATTCCTCATAAAAAGGAGAAATCTATTCCAAAGAAACTGAGCACAACTATACACAACAAAAATATGTTGAAAGTGATCTTTTGTTCAGCTTTATAGATGTTAATAATTTATCATATTGTGTCTTGTGCAGTAAAACATTTTCAAACACTTATATGGTTCCAACAAAGTTGCAGTATCATTTTGGGACCACTCATTCAGAATTTATTAAAAAAAGGAATTAAATAACCGAAATGTAGATGTAATACACTCTTTAAAAGCTTCTTACAGGATAAGCCATCATATTGTATTGGCTAGAGGAGCACACACAATCACAGAGAGACTAATAAAGGCTTGAACAGTTGACATTGCTGAATACCTGCTGGATGAAAAATCACCACAAGAATGCATAGTGCTGGCATTTTCCAATGATGCAATAACTTGTCAAATTAAAGATTTAACTGCAAACATAAAGACTGAGTTAATATATCATCTAAAGAATTGTACCTTAGCCTTACAAAGGGACTGATCTACAGATGGCTATACATCCTGTTTTGCTTTCATTCATCAGGTATCAGCATCAATTGACCATTGATGATCTTCTTTTATGTGAATTCTGGGCAACAGGGGTTCTGAAACATTAAAAGTGTTATATGACTTTTTTGAATCTGGTGGTTTATCCTCAACAACTGTGTTAACTGTGTTAACATTTGCACTGATGGTGCAAAAATGGTGGATTTTATCCAATGGTGGGTAAAATGACTGGTGTCTTAGCACGAATTAAGGCAATGGCACCAAATTTTATTAGTAGTCATTGTATTCTTCACCACCACACATTCGTAGTAAAAAAAAAACAGTTTTACTAAAATAATGTCCTTGATGAAGTTGTAAAAATTATTTTCTACTAAATCTCAACCCTTAAGCACATTTAAAAAAATTCTTTGTGACACAATGTGATGTACCCATAAAACACTTCTACTGCATGCTGAAATATAGTTGTCTTTTGGAAAAACACTTGTTTGAGTTGCAAGCTGAATTAGCCACTTTTTCTTTTCTTTCATGGAAACACCATCTTTTCACTTGGAAAAAAAAAGTGACAGAAAATTGATTATTCAGACTTGGGAATTTGGCAGACATTTTCTTGAAAATAAACAGTGATACTATCACTTTAGGGAAAACAACTAGTTGTATTTGTTGCCAGTGCTAAAATTTAAGCTTTTAAAAGTAGAAGTTGGAATTTTGAAAAGCTTGTATCTGCTACTGTGGGATACTTAGAATTTTTTCTGATATCAGCAGCAACATTAATGAATATAATATTTTTTTGAGACAGGGTCTTGCTCTGTTGTTAAGGCTGGATTGCAGTGGCATGAACAGGGCTCACTGAATGCAGCTCTCAACCTTATGGGCTCAAGTGATCCTCCTGCCTCAGCTTTCCAAGTAGCTGAGACCACAGATGTGCACTCCACTCTTGGCAAATTTAAAAAAATTTTGTAGAGATGGGGTCTTGCCATGTTGCCCAGGCTGGTCTTGAACTCCTGGGCTCAGACAGTACTCCTGCCTTGGTCTCCCAATGTGCTGGGATTACAGGCATAAGCCACTGCAGCCAGTTTGAGTTTTTGATATTGCATGAAATGTTTGAACATTTCGAATACCTCCATAATTCAGTAAACAGATATTTCCTAATGACCATATAATGTTACAGAATCTTACATGAGTAAAAATAATTTCAAAATGCGGATAGGCCAATAGATTTCAATGACTTCCTGTTGTTTATCCCCTGAACCAGAAGATTTACACTCACCCTAGATTCTTACCTTTCCCTCAACCCCTTCATTCTATTACTCAGTACTCAGTGTAAATTCCACCTCCCAGACAGCAGACAGCTCTTAAGTGTATGCTTTCCTGTTCATTACTATTTCTAATGCCCTCATTCAGAACTCTGGCAACTTACTTTATGATGTCAAATCTCTTACGTAGCATAAGAGGCCACTGCCCACCTCTCTTCTCTAGCTTCCCCCATTTCACTGTATTGTCTAGTAAGCTGATCTTATTATAGCTTTTTTTTTTTTTTTTTAGACAGAGTCTCTCTGTCGCTCAGGCTGGAGTGCAGTGGTGTGATCTCTGCTCACTGTAATCTCCACCTCCCACCTTGAGCACTCCTCTCGCCTCAGCCTCCCAGGTAGCCGGGACCACAGGCGCACACCACTGAACAGGGATAATTTTTTTTGTTTTTGTAGAGACAGTGTTTTGCCATGTTGCCCAGGCTGGTCTCGAACTCCTGGGCTCAAGTGATCCACCTGCTTCAGCCTCCCAAAGTGCTGGGATTACAGCCACTGTGCCCAGCCTATTATAGCTCTTTATAAAACAAAAACAACAAAAAAACCGAACATATTGATTCATGACTCCCTACCTTTGCATTCACATGATTCCTTTGCCTGGAATGTCCCCCTTCTTCTACCTGCTTGGGAATTCCTAGCTATATCTACTAAAATTCTATTCAGATGTCTTTTTCCAGGAAGCTTTTCTTAACCTAACTCACGCCATTAAGTTATTCGCTTTATTTTTCTAGGTTATCTTCTATTTGTTTCTACTGTTGTACTCATCATTCTGTAAGGTATTGGGGCTCTGTAGAATTTCTGTTACAAAATTACTTTTTGGTTTGATAATATTTACCTACATTGAGCAATCCCATAAGAAACAGGCCTGTGAAACTCTCTATTGGGTTTCCTAAAACAATATTGTTGAGAGATTATTTAATTACCTAGCTTTCTTTTTATAGGGACTTGCCAGAGAAATATATTTCTGGTCTTATCATATTAGTTACTCTTCAGATTTGTTTTAGAAAATAGTCACCATTAACACCTTTTAGAATTGGTTGGTGGAAAGTTTCCAATCAAAATTGTGGTCCACCTCTAGCAAGCTGTAAAATTTTATGATCTCCAATTAGCCTCAGTTTAAACTCTAGTCAGGCATTTAGCTTCACAAAAACTGAAGTCAGGGATAGTCAGTTTTCCCATATTAGTAGAGAGCTGGGAAGTGCTGATGTGCACAACCTGCAGCCTGAAATAGTTGCTTTTTCTAAATAACAGTAAAACTGTTGCTCTCTGAGGATGGATAGGTGGATGCTATTTGTTGTTTGCAAAGCTTAGGGAACCCTGTGGTTGAGATTTTTTCCAATACATGCATTTTTTTTCCCTTTGCAAAGGGACTTTGGATAATTGTTAATTTTCCCAAGAATATAATTATAATTCTTTTATTGTTTAAATAGAGTTAATAGTTTATCTACAGTTTCACTTTCTGCAGTTTCAGTTATCCATGGCTTGAAAATATTAAGATATTTTGAAAGAAAGAGGAAGAAAAAGAGGCGTCAGTCACATAACTTTTATTACAGCACATCGTTACGTTTCTATTTCATTATTAGTTATTGTTCATATCTTACTCTGCCTAACTTATAAACTTTAACATGCATATGTATGGGAAAAAAAACATAGTATATATAAGGTTTGGTACTATCTGCAGTTTCAGGCATCCACTAAGGATATCAGAACATATTCTCTGCATATTTAGGAGCAATTACCGTATGATATTTTTTTCTTTCTGTGTAAACACATGGTGTCATAGTCCATTTTGTGCTACTGTAACAGAATATCACAGACTAATAACAAATAACAGAAATTTATTGGCTTATAGTTCTGTAGGCTGAGAAGTCCAAAATCAAGATGCTGGCATCTGGGAAGGGCTTTTTTGTTGCATCATCACACAGAGGAAGGTGGAAGGGTGACAGAGAGAGCAAGAAGGGGCTGAACTTACCCTTTTATAACATCACCAATCCCACCCTAATCACCTCTTAAATATTCCACCTATTAATACTGTTATCATGGCAATTACATTTCAACATGAGTTTTGCAGGGGAGAAACATTCAAATCATAGCACATGGGTTAGGTGAGAAATGAAGAGTGAGGTATACAAGAGCATCCAGAACCATACTATATACATTCCAGCTGTTTTGGTGTAGAAGCAGCACAAATGTAGAAGCTGCATTGTTTCTTGATAAAAGGGTCCTGGAAAGATGACCAGCTATACAGTTTCCACTAGAGGAAATGCAGATTGGCTTGTACGACTTTAGAGTATGAAATATAAAGATCTGGAGTCTGTTCCATGTTTTTTCAGGACTGGTGTGACTATATTATGGATAACGAAGGAAAGGAGCCTCCTTTGAAAGAAGCATCTAAATTAGGGATGGGCTCCTCATTTGGAGGATGTTAGAAACTACGAATCAATGTCTCTCATGTTCAATGGAGCTCCCATTTTTATCGGTTTCATGAGACTATTATTAATTTATTTGAATCCAAGATGAGTCTCAAATATACCCAGAAGAAAAAAAATTAAGAAATGAAACCAAGACTCCTAATGCTTTGAATGTTCGTAACATTCGAGAAAAATTTGAGCCTGGGCTATATAATCAAAGTCTAGGATTTGTGAACCTAACAGGGTTCCACTGTCACCTGTTTTCAAGAGAGTGCTGAGAAAAATTCCAATCTATACCTTAAACAATTAGGTTAAATGATTTAAAGAAATTAGCCTTCAGAGGACTGAATTTTTAATGATTTTTCTACTTGGAAAATGTGACTTCTAAATAAAAAAAGTGCTTGCTTATTATAAAACCTTGGTTCAAAGGTAAATACTATGTTCTGACAAGTGTAAAATAAGTACAAGCACATGTGAAAATAACTGTTAACAGCAAATGCTTAAGAAGTGTTCTTGTTTTCTAAAATAAACATTTCCTGTTCCTAAAGTTTTTGGATCAGAAAATGGAAAAATATAACTCTAGTTAATGGGGATATGCAATTTGACTGTAGACCAATAATTAATTGTCATAAAGACTTTAAAAATCCTTCTAGATTAATAATGTGTAGAGGAGTCTTAGAGGATTACTCAGTAAAATAAATTCAAGGTAACAATATTAATCTAAGTTTCTTTAATATTCTTGATCTGGGTAAACATTTTCATAAATTAATTTTGTGAATTTTGAGTTTAAAATATGTCCTGCTCTAATTTCACCATGTGTAAAATAAAAAGGCAATCATAGTATTTTAGTCCATATAAAACCATGCCTCCATTTATAAAAACAGACTTTTTTTGGACAGTTTAACAGTTACAGAAAAACTGAACAGGAATTACAGAGAGTTCCCGTATGTCCCCTCAAGCCCTCTTCCCTCCAGTTTCCACTATTAGTAACATCTTGCATTAGTGTGGTACATTTGTTAAAATTGGTGAGCCAATATTGATACATTATTAAGTCCATAGTTTACATTAGGGTTCACTCTTTGTGCAGTTTTATTGGTTGTTATATTTTATTGGTTTTGACAAAGGTATGACATGTATCCACCATTACAGTATCATTCAGAATAGTTTCACTGCCTTAAAAATCCTCTGTGCTCCACCTATTCATCCAACCCTTCCCATGGACCACTGGTAACCACTACCTTTTCACTGTCTCCATGGTTTTGCCTTTTCCAGATTACCATATAGTTGGACTCATACAATATGTAATCCTTTCAGATTGGCTTTTCCTTAGCAATATGCATTTAAGGTTCCTCCATTATCCAGAGATGGTTTTAGTTGTCACAACTTGGGTAGAGAGATCAGGGGTCAATGCTACTGGCATCTAGTGGGTGGTAGAGACTGAGGTAGCTCATGAGCATCCTACAATGCCCAGGACAGCCCCCTACAAAAAAGAATTATTCAGCCCCAAATGCCAACCATGCTCGAGGTTGAGTAACCTTGTGTTAAGAGTGACATGTGGCATGAGAAATGGGGCGGTTTTGGCTCATGTTGTGATATTCTAGATTCAGATATTTCCCTGAGCAGAGAGGCTGAAATGCTGAAAATTTTTCATTTGATGACCTTGATGCTTCCTTTCCTGACCATCGTAAAGAACAAATGGCTCCTTTGCTTTGGCAAGAAATACTGAAGGTGGTGGCTTTTTTCTGTTTGTTTTGAAATGAAGTCTTGCTATGTTGCTCAAGCCAGTCTTGAATTCCTGAACTTCTGGTCTCAAGTGATCCTCCTGACTCAGCCTCCAGAGTAGCTGGGACTACAGGCACATGTTACTGCACCAGCCTTCAACGTGATTTTTTTTATTTCATTCAGGTGACAAACTCATGCTGAGGTTCCCAATTTTTGTCTCAGAGCTAGGATATTCTAAATTTGTAAAAAAAAAAAAAAAAAAAAAAAAAAGTTAAGAAATATTAACTTTCTATGAAACACTCTAAATACTAACAAAGAGCTTGGTGAGTTCTCCCACTTACCTGTGTCCCATCTGTGCTTCAGTTGCAAATATATATATATATACACAGAGAGAGAGAGAGAGTCTTATTCTGTCACCCAGGCTCCAGCGATCCTCCCTCCTTGGCCTCCCAAAGCACTGGGATTATAGGGATGAGCCACTGCCCCCAGCTCAGTTGCTTATTTTGCATTATTTCAAGGCAGTGGAGGCAAAACGCTCAAAATTAATTTCTCACAGATCAACATCACATCTTGGAGTAAAACAAACACATATTGAAGGTATTTTAATGTATGTTTTCTTGAACTTCTTCTAACTAATAGGGGAAATATTTTCATTAACTTTTACCAAAGATTTCTGGATAGTGTAAATATATTTTTCTATTTGGGTAACAGTTTATAGTATGCTGTTATTTCTCTGTTCATTTATTTATTTTTATCATATACCTCCTAGAGTAAGATTTAATTTGATGGAAATGTTTTGTGGATTCTGCTGTAATTAATGCACATAATAGCAGTCAGTAATAGAATTTCTGTAAACCTATATTTATTAATTATCTAATACCTTCTCTTCATTTTGCTGTTGATTTCCACTAAGTAGATTAAATTGTGTTCTTAAAAACAGAAATTCATTTGTGTATGGATACAAAACAGAATGTTCCCAAATGCAATCTTGGATGTGATGCTCTAAACTTTAGAAATCCAGCTTCATTTATTTTGGATTAATTTCTCCCGCTTGGAGGCTGACACACTGTTTTACATCTATCAAATGCATGATTATAAAATTAACAATTTTGTACAATAATGAAATTAAACACACACACACATGAACTGTAAACTATACAGCACCATCTCTGTGTCATAGTTTTAAAAGGCACTTCCAGATGACATAAAAAATGAAGAGATATTTTTTAAGAACCTATTGATTTTTGATCTCCAATTTTGTGTGTGGGGGGTTGTTTTTCTTTAACCCTAGTTTTATCTAATTTGAGATTCATGAACAAGGTATCTCTAAGGGAAAGAGCAGCAGGTATAATTATTAGTTATTTTATAAGACTTTGTGAAGTCTTTGGTATAGTTCTAAAAACAAAGTGAAAGAACCTAATGTATGTATAAAAATAGTTTTGCAAGTCAATTGGTTTCTAATTCTTTGCTTTCAACAAAATTGAAGAAGAACCTTATACTTGAGTTGTCAGCTGACAGATTATTAAAAATATTATTTAATAATAGCCCATTATGTGAGTTTTGCATACGACTAAGAAGAAATTTTAAAAATTGGGTGAAGTTGCCTCAACAAGTCTTTATTTTCTCATTCATTTATATGATCAAGATTCCTTAGTTCTTTCATGTTAAAATTTTTTAATTGAAATAATATACAGCCCAGATTCATTAACAATAAGTAACATTTGTCAACATGAAATTGGGAAAATAAAGTCCCTATCCATCTCATTAAGAGATGCATTTCTAGTTAAATTTTACCATTACAAACTTACACTTTTATTTACCAAAATGTGTATTACAGATTGAGCATCCCTCATCAGAAAATCTGAAATGCTCCAAAATCTGAAACTTTTTGAGCACCAATATGATGCCACATGTAAGTACTGTACTTAACACAACTTCATTTCACATATAAAATTATTTTAAATATGGTATAAAATTACCTTCAGGCTATGTGCATAATGTATATAAGAAACATAAGTGAACTTCATGCTTAGACTTGGGTCCCGGCCTCAAGATATCTCATTATGTATATACAAATATTTTAAAATCCAAGATAATCTGAAATCCAACACACTTTTGGTCCCAAGCATTTCAAATAAGGCATATCCAATCTGTACTGACATTATTTTGATCTCTAACAGTTGGTAATCCTATCTTAATCCATATAACTTTTTTTTGAGACAGCATCTTACTCTGTCATCCAGGGTAGAGTGCATGCAGTGGCACGATCATGGCTCACTGCAGCCTCGACCTCCTGGGCTCAAGTGATCCTCCTACCTCAGCCTCCCAAGTAGCTGAGACTACAGGCAGGAGCCACCATGTCCAGTAATTTTTTTTTTTTTTGTAGAGATGAGGTTTCCCTATGTGCCTAGGCTGGTCTTGAACTCCTGGGCTCAAGTAATCCTCCTGCTTCAGCCTCACAAAGTGCTGGGAGTACAGGTGTGGGCCACTGCACCCAGCCCATATAACTTTTACACTTACAACAAGAAATTAAAAATTCAATGTAAGAACATATTTTGTTGCAAAGAAGCAGAATAGGTGGCTCAATAAAAGATTTCCAAGAACAAAGAAAAAAATTACATTAGGATGTAACCAGGGTTGAGAACTCAAAAAAAAAAAAAAAAAGAAAAAGAAAAATTCTACATGGGGGGTAGAATAAAAATATGAATTCAAAGTGGGAAAAAAGAGCAATGTAAAATTTCCAACCATTAAGAAAGAGGTTGTTTGTATATTTTTTAAATTAATGATAATGGGTGTCAAAACATTATGATATTTAGATTGAATTGAACATATGAGCGATTAACAGTTTTATTTTAAAGTGTTAATATGGAGAATATGTTGGAAATTATATATTTTTTGCAACTATCTGGACACATGTTGACAATTTTAGGTCTATCTAAGTCTATGGGAGGAGGCATATGACATTTCACAATCCTTGTAGGAGAGATGTGAAGGGAAGACCCCTGAGCTATTCTTCCTCCTTCTTGTGTTACCCCAGTAGGAAAATGGACTTATAACTGGAGAAGAGAAGCTAGGTGTCAGCAGAGACATGATGGAGTGGACATTTCTTTCAGTCCTTTACCAGGAAGTCCTTTCAAACTGAGGAGGAACATACTAAGGGAGAGACACACTAGTCTTGAAGCCCATGGCATTCCTGAAGATCCACCTCACACCCCAAATTACCAAACCCCAAAGCTCTCTTCAGCTCAGTAGGTTGTCCTTTAATTTTCAGTAACCCTTCCCTACAGCAGAAGAACCAATTTTTCTTTTCCCTCATAATTTGAATCCCTCCCACTAATTTATTTGAAGATGAAGATATTATCCTCTTTTACTACCAGTGAAAATACAATGACTTGAGAAGAGAAAATGATCTGTGTGACGCCAGGGTAGAAGTGGAAGTTGTGGGCCCTCGAATAAACCACTAGTCTTATACTTGAAGCAGGATAAACAATAAATGCCAAACCCAAGGCAGAAACTAGAAACATGGAGGAAAAGAGGCATAAATGCCTCATATTAGACAGTTACATTCTAAGAAATCTTTCTTGCAGCAGTTACTTTCCTACAATGACCAACTTCCTCTGACTCCAAATTTACTCCTTATGTACACTTGGGTTAGATATTCCTTTGACTATCCAATCATACCATTGTATAGTACCATTTACACATGCATACATGCTCACCTAAAGAACTTTTTGTGTGTGTGTGTGTGTGGTTTTTTTTTTTAAATCGAGTCTGGGACCTGGTTTCGCTCCATTGAGTCACTGGTGAAAAATTTAGTAAATCTACGAAGAGAGTTTAGTAAGTGTAAGAAGAGTCTGCTCACTGTGTGTGATATTCCAATAGATTCATGTGTTCTACACACAGGGATCTCTTGGATATAAGGGAGGCATTTCTCAGGTGTCTGGGTGACTTTCTGGTCATTATCCAGGTTCCTGGCTCAGCTTCCCAGGTCTCTTTGAATAAGCAGAGGGGATCCACATTCAGACAAGGCTCCTGGGGCTCTGACCAGAGGGGCTGGACATCCCTGGTAGACCTGACATTGGGCACTGAGACTCCTGGAAAACTTAAGCTGTTAATTTTGCAGTTCTCCATCTTGACTGCTTCTCGGACTGACCATCAGTTGGTGGGTTTTCATCAGCCTTCTGCCTCACCTCCTCTGATCCAAGCAGCAGCAGGGACTCACTTGCATGCACTGGTCTTGTAGGCAGTGACTTTTAAGCCACATCCTCTGTCTACCAGGCTAAACTTGCCTGCCTGAGAGGCATACTCCTTCCATCCTCTATCGTACATCTGTGAGCTACCAACTCTGGCCCTAGTGTGATACTGCCAGAATGTTGTGTACCTCATCTATTTAGAGTGGGAAGCCCATAAGGCAAACTGAAGAGGCCCCGTATCCTCACTCCCTTTCTGCTCAGTTTTTTCATTTATATTATCTCAACTTCACTCTACTAACCAGAGCACCAAGGAAGGGTAGGTTAGCAATTACGTCTATGATGACTATAGAGAAGTGGGGAGATGACTTATGATCCTCTTTGTGCTGGATTCCCTACTGAAGGCATCTGATGGCTTCTGATTTCCCTGGTCTGAGAAGAAAGTCCCTCTCCACCTCTCCCTCCTTACTCTACCTCAGGCTGAGGGGCTCAGGCAACCTTTTATGTTGCATATGGCATAGGTATCTCTGCCTCACTCCAGAAGGGACCAACCAATAGCCACCTACTCACCTACTTCTGAGGTCTAGTGCCTACAGACCTGGTGTTCATAAATTTAAGTTCTGGATTTAGGTCTCCTTTCCTGTAGCCAGGTGATCAGTGACCGGCAAAAATCAAGATCCCAGACTTCCTGAGTAACCTCATCAAGACTGAGGTAACAGCTCACATAGCTAGTGCATAGACAGATGCAGGTTACATGGAGTCTGAATCCCGTACACATTTGGAGGCTCCCTTTGGGACTGCTGGGATGCATGAAACATGGGATTTCACTCACAGTTGTGCTCACTATGTGTGATATTCCTATAGATTCATGTCTCTACACACAGGGATTTTTGATCATTCTGAATTGTTGATTCCCATAAAAAATGAATACATGGTGATCACTGTATATGCTGCATTACTGAATACATATTTACGAGAGTCTCCAACACATCTTTACACGTCTGAGGAGTAAAAGAATTTCCCACAGATTAGCTTCTGGTTCCCATTTCAAACCTCATTTCTGTTCCACCTCTGGCATTGGGTGTAGTATGGCTCCTTAGTGCTCCAGGCCAAAATAAGTGGCACAGGGGTAAAGTCATTTCTGGTGGGGGGTGGGGGATTTGGAGAAAAAAAGAAAGGATTGCAGGGGAGTACACTGGGAGGGTTAGGAGAAATTCTGGAGATACGGTCCACTCAATGGAGGCACATACAACCAAGCTGAGAAACGACATAGTACCCAACAGAGTTGGGAGATGTGAAACCCAAACATCAATCTCCACCTGGGCATAGAGGAAATACTCGATTTCCAAGCAGGTTCTAGGTTCAGAGGAGAGAGCCCTTGGTTGGAAGCGCCGGTCTTGCAGGATGGGGTGGGGGCGTTAATGCAAACTTCTGGTCCAGCAGAGGTAGAAACAGACCAGATCTAAGTAGCAGCTCAGAGGCAGCGGACTTGAGGGATGAAGACGTGAGGCCCAGAGGGTGGTGCCTGGCAGAGAAAACAGCTGCCAGACACCAAGGCCACCTCGGGTTAAAGGGAACAAGTTATATCCAAAAAAAAACCAACACGGTGAAAATAGGAAGAATAAGGATATCACCTGGAGTGTTCTCCTGAGACACTCCCCAAGAACCTGGATTCTTTAACAATCCCTCCAGAGCAGGGACACTCAGCACATACATCTCCCACAAAGTAAAGTGTCTGAAGGCCTGGGCAAACCCTTCTCCCTCCCCTTCTCTCTCCTCCACGGGCCGGCCCGGAGGAGGCTCAGGGATGAGAACTACTGTCACTGCTGTTCCCCACCTCACCCCAACGAGAGAGGAATCTTTAGAGGTCTGTATCCCTCCTTCACCACCCCGCCTGAGCGCCTGCTGGAAAACACAATCACCGTCTCAAATCTCACCCTGCAACTGCATCCAAGCGCTTTCTCCAAGCGTTCGGGGAGCCGCCGGAACTCTTCTTCCAGGCAGGCGTTCCGAGACTCCGCACAATAGGTACCTACCCTTGGGGTTTTGAGCCGCAGTGTCTGCCTCTGTTCAAGTATCCAGGCTCAGGTACAGACCTTTCAGTGCAGGCGGCGGGAGGCGCGAACACGGAGGACCCCCTCAGGCATACTGCCGCCCGGGCGGCGCCTGACAGATTGCCTCCTTGGGATCGGCGGACATGCCCTGGGCGCTCCAGCTCCGCGCGCCTCAGACACAGGCTATGATTGGCCTGGCTGAACGTCAATCAGGGCTCGGCGCCGTGGAGGCGGGAGGAACGCTGTAGGCAGAGGCCGCTTAACTCCCTACGGGGTTATTCTCCGCCTCTTCTAGGGTAGGCAGGTGTTCCCGAGTCCCTTAGGGGGGGTCCCCGCGGCGGCCTGAGATGCTCGGCGCCAGGTTGTCGCGCCCTTGAGCTGGCTGAAGTAGACATTGACTCTGGAGAGTCTGCGTTTTTCCTGGTCCCAGAGCCGTGGTCCCGATACTGCGCTTCCCGCTCCTCCAGTCCCAGCTCCCAGGCTCCGTCTTCTCCCGCTTGGCGCTGGAGAAACACCGGAAGAGAGAGTCGCAGAGTGACTGCTGTGGCCCTGCGACCTGACTGCCACCTTCCAGGACTCTAGCCCTGGCTCCTTCTAACCTTCCCGCCCCTCAGTGCCCCAGAGAGGCTGGTTTGCGGACAATTATTCATCAGCCGGAAGAAAAGGAGGTGCCAGTGTTAGGCGCAGAAGAGGGTTGGACCAGAAAAGCTGGAGAGGGGCAAGAGGGGAAAGAGGGGGAAGGGGGAAGGCGGAAGGCGGAAGAAGTTGGGAGGGGTAACAGCTCGAGCTTTTCCTCTAGCGTAGTTTCTCTTCTCTCGGTGCCGCCCCATCTGCTTCTTGCCTCAGTTCCCCACTCGCACCCGTGCACCTCTGCGGCAGGCGTGTGAAAGGAATGGGAGGGGGGGCTTTTGGTCGGGATATCTGGTCCTCCAGACCCCACAGCCTTGGCTGAGAACTTACTTAAGCCCACTCCAACTGACTTGATAAATGAGAATCTTGACCAGCCCACTGGTAGGTAGAAATGAGGGACGTCATGTATCCCTGAATGGAATAACCCGAAACCGCAGGTCCCGTGGATGTGGGAATCCACAGCACTGGCTGCGCTCCTAAGGCTCCTAAGTCCACTTCCGAACCTCATCTAAGACCCTGAAAGCCAGACTAGGGACACATTGGATTATTATTATTATTTTTTTTATTTGAGACAGGGTCTCGCTCTGTCGCCCAGGCTGGAGTGCAGTGGTGTGATCTTGTCTCACTGCAACCTCCGCCTCCCGCGTTCAAGCGATTTTCGTGCCTCAGCCTCCCGAGGAGCTGGATCTACAGGTGCGCACCACCACGCCTGGATAATTTCTGTATTTTTAGTAGAGACGGGGTTTCACCATGTTTGCCAGGCTTGTCTCGAACTGTTGACCTCAAGTTATCCTCCCGCCTCCACCTCTTAAAGTGCTGGGATTACAGGCCTGAGCCTCTGCGCCAGTCCTACACGTTGGATCTTTTCCCAGACCTCCTCCTCAGACGTGGAGCGTACAAATGATGCTCCATCGGTTACTCTGATCCTGACTTTGGGACTGCCAGATAAAACTGGGAGAAACCCTACATTTACTCTTACTGTAACGTATTGGCTTGAAACTGCAGGTCAGAACCCATTTATGTTGAGACCAAAAGACTTTTTTTCCAAGTAGAATGAAATAGAATAAAATACAATTGAAAATACTTGCCTGCATCACAGGTAATGAGAGTAACTATAGTTTCATGAAACCGTTGTTTCAGTTAAATATGTTTTTGCGTGTGTGCATGTGTATCGGGAGGAGATATGTATTTCATATATATATGTAGAGAGGTGGAAATCAACAACAAAACTCCATAATTTTTCTTGTTTTCTAACAGTTCTTGATTTTGAGTAAAAATAATTCTTTAAGAACAAAATTTTGAGCCAGCTAACGAAAGATCAGAGTCAAGCAGCCTCTCATTGGGGCCTGAATAGAGGTTCATCTTATTTGGCTTTTTCGTTTTTTTCCTATCTTGTGGACTCCTTTTAAGGCCCAGCAAGGAATTACCCTCCCCAAGTTTCCACTCTCTGCTTGGTTCAGCCATTCAGCTGTCTCTCGGGCTCTTTGATTAATAAAAAGTCCAGTAGAGCTATTTTATCCTATGCATGTGTGGGAAGAGGGCAATGCCAGTGATTCTTTCCTGATTTGACAGAAAATTCACAAATCACGTTACCTTCTGAAGATAGAGATTTTAAGCTCAAACATTATCACCAGAGAACTGAATTATTAAGAAAGATGAGTGGTCAAAAGTACAGATGTTTTACAGATTAAGGGTCATTTTGTCAGGTCCTGTCCAAAATATTTGAAGTCTAGGGGTTTGAAAAATTGTTAGAAATAACCATTTATGACAACAGTTTTCATTTATTGTTCTCTCCAGCTTCAGGAGCAGGGGAGAACATTTTTTTCCTTCTTACCTTGCTGAGAATTTTTTCACCAGGGTTTCAAGGCTAAGAACTGAAATTCCAGCATTGACATTGAATTAAAAAGAAGCAAGCCCTTTTAGGAAGTCAAATTTTATTATATGAGATGGAATGTAATATTGAGATTACTTATTACTTAGGCATGGGATAGGGGGGCTTTTAACAACAGACCAAAAAAAAAGTTGGAAGGATAGGAATGAAATAAAGCAAACTTTCATTATTCATAGATGATACAATTGTCTACAGAGAAAAATAATCTAAAACATAAGAATTAAGAGTTTGGCACAGTGGTTGGCTAAATATATAAACAAATCTATTGCATTTTCTATAAAAACAAAAAAGTAGAAATGTGATTAACTGGTTTATATAACAAACTTACAGTACAGTTGACCTTTGAACAACATGGGCTTGAACTGTGCAGGTCTACTTATATATGATTTTCTTCTGCCTTTGCCACCCTTGAGACAGCGAGACCAACCTCTCCTCCCCTTCCTCCTTCTTAGCATATTCACCATGAAGACATGAGGATGAAGACCTTTATGATGCTCCACTTCCACTTAATGAATAGTAAATATATTTTCTCTTCTTTATGATTTTTTAAATAACATTTTCTTTGCTTTTCTGAGACAAGGTCTTGCTCTGTTGCCCAGGCTAGAGTGCAGTGTTATCATGGCTCACTGTAGCTTCAACCTCCTGGGCTCAAGCGATTCTCCACCTCAGCCTCCCAAGTAGCTGGGACTACAGGTGCACGCCACCCTACCTGGCTAAATTTTTAATTTTTTGTAGAGATGGGGTCTCGCTATGTTGCTGAGGCTGGTCTCCAACTCCTTGTCTCAAGCACTTCTGCCTCAGCCTCCCAAACTGCTGGAATTACAGCCATGGGCCACCGCACCTGGCCAACATTTTCTTTTCTCTAGCTTACTTTACTGTAAGAGTACAGTATATAACACATAAAAATATAAAATATATGTTAAATAACTTTATGTTATTGGTAAGACTTCTGATCAACAGTAGGCTATTAGTAAAGTTTTGGAGGAGTCAAAAATTATGTGCAGATTTTTGACTGCACAGGTGGTCAGCGCTACTAACCCTCGCATTGTTGAAGGGTCCACTGTAATCAGGAATAAATTCTCAAAAAGGAAAGGCATGCAAGATCTTAGTGGGGAAAATTAAAATCATTAAAAGAAGTTGAAGAAGTACTGCACAGATGGAGAGATACATTCATGGTTAGGAAGCATCAATATCATTAAAATGCCAGTTTTCCCCAATGTGATCTATAGTTTCATGCTATTTCTAGAAAAATTTCAACAAAATGTTTTATAGAATTGGACACAATGATATTAAAATGAAACGAAGGAACACAAGTTCAAGAAGAGCCAAAATACCATTGAAAATAAAGAGGAAGTTGGGGAATTTCCTGACTACATGAGAAGATATTATATACACCACTGGATTTAAGACCATGTGCTATTATTGGTGAGAGAGGGAGTAGACAACTGGGCCAATAGAATAGAATGGAAAGAGTGTCAGGACCCCTTGTATGTGAAGAATGGTCATTAAAGACCAGTGGGTAAAGGATGTATAATTCAATAAGTTTGAATTTATGACACTGGATTAGTGGATATATATACATCATAATAAATTCCAGATGAACTAAGTACCAACGTATTGAAGGCAAAACTGTAAAACTTTTAAATGAAAATGTGAAAGAAATATTTGTATGACTTCAAGGTAGAAAAATATTTATTAAAAAGACACACATACACATTTTAAAAACAAAAATGTTAAGAGAAGATGAATAAATTTGACCACATTAAAATTAGAAACTTTAATCAAAACACACTCTAAAGGAAAAAAAGCCACAATCTAAACTTATTTATATCACACATAATTTACATAGGATCAATATCCAGAACATCTAAGAATAGCCCCATAGGAAAATGATCAAAAGATGTGAAAGGGCAGTTCACAAAAAGGGATATATAAAAGACCAATAAACGTACAAAAGTTAAGCTCACAATAGTTATCAGAGAATTGTGAATTAGAACAGTCCTTGAAATAACATTTTAAAATCACTAAATAGACAAACATTGAAAAGTCTAACATTATCAAAAATCAATGAGGATGTAGGGTGAGGGGAACTCATACTCTGATGGTGGACTTCAAACTGAAATAATCTACTTGGAAAAAAATTGGCATTTTGTAGAGTTGAAGCTGAGAATATCCTAAAGCATAGCAGCTCTACCCTTAAATATATATGCACCTTAGGGAAATTATTGAATAAGGCACCAAGAGCAATGTGCAGGAAAAGTCATGAGAGCATTCTTTGTAATTGCAAAAAGCTGGAAACAACCCAGTGTCCATTTGCAGGTAAACTGATACACAAATTTTGGCATAATCATAATGTGGAATTCTATGCAACATCAAGATCAGTGGAATACAGATAAAATAATAAACTTGCATAATTCTTAAAATCATATTGTTGAATGAAGAAAACAACAGAAAACTACATTTTGATATTAATTATGATGTTAATTTGTTGTCAGACAAAGACAATATTTACTATGATGAAAAGCAAGATAATGATCAACTCCAAATTTGGAATAATAGTTGCATTTTGCAGAGAGGAAGGGAGATTCTAAGGGAAGACAAATACAGGAAACTTTAATGTTAAGGGTAACGTTCCATTCCTTCATGTGACTGGTGGGAAAAAATGGATGCTTAAAATTCTTGTAGATATGCATCACATGCATTACTTATTTGTAGAAAAATATTTCAAAAACTGGATCATAAGAAAAAAGGAAAAAGATGTATAAGAAATCATTTGCATAGAGACAGAAGTAACAAAGGCAATTTGATGAAATTTATTGAGACAGAAGACTAAAAAATGAAAAAACATGGTAAATATAAAAATATGATGGCAGAAGTAATCCAGATATATATGCATTTGTAATGTCCATTTATATCATTGCATTAAATCTAAATTTTTCTGCTCAGTAAAGATGGTCTGTGTGTGTGTGTGTGTGTATTTGCTATTCAAAAAGTGCTGGTGGCAATGGCTTATACCTGTAATCCCAGCACTTTGGGAGGCCAAGGAGGGAGGATCACTTGAGCCCAGGAGTTTGAGATCAGCCTGGGTAACATAGCGAGACCCTATCTCTACAAAAATAAAAAAATTAGCCAGGCGTGGTTGTGCATGCCTGTAGTCCCAGCTACTGAGGAAACTGAGGTGCAAGGATCGCTTGAGCCTGGAAGGTTGAGGTTGCAGTGAGCCGTAGTCGCACCCCTGCACTCCAGCCTGAGCGGCAGACTGAGACCCTGTCTCAAAATAAAAACAAAAACAAACAAAAAGCACCTAAAACAAAATGACACCGAGTGATTAAACCAATGGACAATGATAAACTCAGGCAAATGCTAACAAAAATTAATTATGGATAGAAATACTGTCTTACTCCATTTTGTGCTGCTATAATAGAATATCCAAGACTGGATAATTTTTAAAGAACAGAGATTGACTTATTACAGTCCTAGAGGCTAGGAAATCCAAGGTTGAGAGGCCTGCATCTTGCAAAAATCTTCTGGCTGCCTCATACTGTGGTGGAAGGCAAAAGGGATAAAAAGAGAGCTGAGAGAGAGAAAGAGAAAGAGAGAGCGCCCAAGTGCAACAGGTTGAATTCACAGGCTTTTAGCCTTTTTGTAATTGGCATTAATTCATTTATGAGGATGGAGTCGTCATGACCTAAACACCTCTCATCATTAAGCCTCACCTACTAACACTGTTGCATTGAATATTACATTTCCAACATATGCTTTTTGGGGACACATTCAAACCATTACAAATACTAATATTGAACAAAGTAGAATAAATGATGAAGAAATTTTTCAGTGTCAAAGAAGGATACTTTATTATGCTAAAATGTACAATTCACCAACTACCCATAAGTTATAAGCCTTCATATCCTAAACAAGTCTTTGAAAGTTAGGGAAAAAAATGTGCTTTGTTAGGAAAGATAAATTGACACATTTAAGAGCTTTTAGCATACTTTTAAACTAAACTGTCATATCCAATTGTAAAATAATGTGAATGTAAGATATTTTGCTAAAGCAAATAATG
The DNA here is from genome assembly GCF_000001405.40 of Homo sapiens. Lineage (NCBI taxonomy): Eukaryota > Metazoa > Chordata > Mammalia > Primates > Hominidae > Homo > Homo sapiens. Next base: position 4,307,674 of record NT_167246.2, on the reverse strand, counting down.
ATCTTATCAAATATTTATAAAATTGTGTACTCAACAAATAGTGAATGCATATTTTCCCAAACATAATGCATTAAACCACAAAGTAAAATTAAATAGAAATTAGAAACTACACGGGCTATATTCTCTCACCGGTATAAAACACATACATAGAAAAACAAAACAAAACTAAAATAAAACAAAACAAAACCTCACCAAAACAGTACTAACAAGAAAGCCTCCACTTGGAAACTTAAAAACATCTCACTAATTTTTGGGTTGAAAAGGAAATCAAAATTGCAATTCAAAGGAGTTATGTTTTTGCTAGGAATATGGAGGGAATTCAGTTCAGAATTCATTTCTCTATATAGTACAGCAAAGAGAATGAAAAAGAAAACCACACAAGAACCTCATTTTTAGTGAAACTAGGAAACAAAAAGTATGGTTACATCCCAAATTGCATGTCATTTGTGCTTAAAGCAACGGAGAGCAGAACTGGGCATAAGAAGCCAAAATGTTGCTGTGGCAACAGATGAAAGCGTGGAGGGAACTAGTGGTGCGGGATCTCGGAAAGGGCCCGAAAATATTCTCTCTCTAAGAGTAGAAGCCAGCCTAGGTTGGAGCTGTTGGCAGTTGGCCTGAGCTACAGTGAGGCCCAGATGCTGGGGAAGGCAGAAGAAGGCCCACATATTGGGGGAGCAGACTTTGTTTTGGAGGTTCCAAGGTGGCAGATAACAAAGGTTCCCTCTGGAATGCAGGGGGTCCTAACACCGTGGTAGAATCCTTGCTGAAATAGATTAAATTCCCCAAGTTGGAAAAAACATGGATGCAGCGTATTTTAAGATAAAGTTTACGTGTTAGTAATAAAGGATTGGTCCTTCGGTTGTAAAACCTGGGAGGTTACTATTGCCCATGTCTTCTCTCACCAACCCATCATCCCACCCCCATCCAATAGGAGTCTTCCACTAATATCTGGTCCAGGAATGCTCAATTTATTCAGAATAAGTAGGAAAAGAAATGGCACAGTTCCACATAAATATGCCATGAGAAAAAAATGTTTACAGAAAGCAGCAAGATTTCCCTCCAGAAGTAATGAAGCAACCTCAGCCATGAAGATCATGGAGCCAAAAGGATGACCTTCAGCAGAAGCAGTTACGAGCCAAAGAGGTCCAAGGGCACTGAGGGAGGAGCCAAGTGGTAAGGGCCACCTCTGGCTGGGATCCAGGGTGCCCAAGTGGGAAAATGAGCAAGCCAGAGAGTGCTTGGTCTAGGGATTAAGAAAAGCACACAGTAATAGGTTGGACACTAAATTTGAAAATGAACAGTGAGAAAAATGCTGTGGGGACCAGGATTGAAATGAAGTAACAGAACAATTAAAATTACATGATCCAGGGACAGAGACTTGAACTCATAAACAGGCCTGTGTTGCCCATTAGTCACAAGGGGAGCAGTGAGCCATTGTTAAAATGCCAAGGATTCCCAATGCAGTTTACTTGGAACTTTGCCCAGCGATGAAGGAGTCTGACTTGTCTTTTCTGTAATAGTTAGAATCAAAGAAAAATAAAGCACAGCTGGTGGGAGGGTGAGAAGCAAGCATCATGAACCACGGTCTAATTCAAGGATCAAACTGCTGTCCAGTTCTGGCAGATTTTGGATTGCAAGGGGAATAAAGCTGAGAGGCCATATTGGCACCTAGGCACAGTGAGGTGAGTCTGGCCACGCATTTAAGAAGCCCCTGCAAAATGATACAGGTGGTTACTAAAAACCACCTCTGGCCTCTGGAAAAAAAGAAATAGCATCTCCCGGATAAGAATATCTGGGTCTCACACCTATTGACCAGGTCGAGATAGGGTTCAGTTGGGGATGGGATATAATAAAAGGCATGGGTAAAGAAACTGGGCAGAGGCATAGTGCCTGCATGTTGGAGATTAAGGAGGGAATTCGGAACTCATTTTTCTATATATATTACAACAAAGGTTAAGTTTGGAGGTTAAGTAAGGATGCTGCAGCTCACTCATGGTTGCTTTTCCTTCAGAGTACTCATGCCTCGGCTTACCCAGGGGGACTCAAGGAGAGGAATGTGTGTGCGCATATCTATCTATCTATCTATCTATCTATCTATCTATCTATCTATCCATCCATCCACCTTCTAATCTACCTAAATCAATCACTGTGTGTATCTATTCCAACCACAATGGACTCCTATCATTCAATTTCATTTAGTGGTACATCTCAGCCCAGTTTACAGAAAAGCTGTAAAGGGCTGTAAAAGGCTGTATGAGAACATAATCTGAAAAGCGTTGCTCAAAAGAGCATATTATATATTATTGGGCATTTATGAAGAAATTAGATCTCACACTGAGCTAGTTAATAAAGATTTATAATTACAAATGGGCTGCAGCATGTGATTCTGAACTTGACTATTTCCTTTTGCCCTTCAGTTTCAGACTATGATATGGATTATGATTCTCTACCACCCCCTAGTGGAAATTCATTCATTTCTTTTTAAGTCCTGCTTCTTCTAATCATTTAGTCTAAATGATTAGACTAAATGAGAAAATTACATAGTAAATATCTGGATTCACTCTTGTTATAAAAGGTTCAAACCGGCCGGGTGCAGTGGCTCACACCTGTAATCCCAGCACTTTGGGAGGCCAAGGCGGGCGGATCACAAGGTCAGGAGATTGAGACCATCCTGGTTAACACAGTGAAACCCCCGTCTCTACTAAAAACACAAAAAATTAGCCTTGCGTGGTGGCGGGCGCCTGTAGTCCCAGCTACTCGGGAGGCTGAGGCAGGAGAATGGCGTGAACCCAGGAGGCGGAGCTTGCAGTGAGCCAAGATTGTGCCACTGCACTCCAGCCTGGGCTACAGAGCAAGACTCCGTCTATAAAAAAAAAACAACAAGTTCAAACCATACAGAAGGGTACGGAGTAAAAGGTCTCCTTTGTTTCTCCCTCCTCCCCATTCCATTCTAGGTCCCAAAGGTAACTGTGTGTAGTTTGTGTTATACTAGGATATTTCCTGTGCTTTTACACATTCCAGGTATATGGCAGGAAAAATCCTGAGACATCAACTGAGGATTATTTTCCTCAGGCATCTTTCTACAACAGAGGCAGATAACGCATTTCCCCTCATGCCATGGGAGACAGACCACAGCAAAACAGCAATGACCAAAAGATTAAGATTTTTCATTTAAAATTTTACATTTGAAAACCATGGTAGGCCAGGTGTGATGGTCACATGCCTTTAACCATTTAGGAGGCTAAGGCAGGAAGATTGCTTGAGCCCAGGAGTTCAAGACCAGCCCGGACAACATGACGAGACTCAGTTTCTACAAAAAAAAAAAAAAAAAAAAAAAAGAAAAGTAAAGAAAAAAAAATTAGCTGGGCATGGTGGCGCTCACTTGTGGTTTCAGCTACTCAGGAGGCTGAAGCAGGAGGATTGCTTGGGCACAGGAGGTTAGGGATACAGCAAGCCATGTTCAGGTCACTGTACTCCAGCCTGGGTGACAGAGTGAGACCTTGTCTCAATAAATAAATAAATAAATAAAAAAAATAGAAAACCCAGTAGAGGCCAAATGAAAGAAAGGTCTTTGGAGATGAAAAACCTTAGATTACTAGATATCTGAAGTCAGCACTTGTTCCATAAATAATAGATTTGGGAAGTACTCCGGATAATCTTAGAGCCAATTTTCTTCTGTGGAAGTGATAAGAATCCACAGGCTGAAGACAGAAAGAGTGTCAGGAACTGGTTTTGGGGTCTTGCACTCTGTAATCCAGTTAAACTGTGTGACAGAGGGTCAGTGCCTCCTCCAACTCAGATATTTTGGGCATACAAGGATGGGATCAAAGAGTGTGCTGTTTCTGGTCTACGGAATATTACAAATTTGAATGAAATAAAAATATTTCTGACAGTTTCTAAACTCTCTTTTCTTAGTACTCAATAGAATGGACTGTCATCCATGCTGGGTAAGGAAAGATCTTGACAAGGAAAGGAAGGAATCAGGGTTTCATGAGAGACAGGGTTCTAGGGATCCAAGCACCATGATGAGGTAATGGCTAAGTTTTCTCTTGGGTAATGCAAAGAAAAGTTGACCTTTACTGCTGTGAAGCAAATTAGAAGCTAACCCGGGGTGCATTCGTTTGGTTTCTTCCAGAAGCAGTCCCTGACACAGGGACATGAATGAAAGTAATTTATTTTGGAGGTGCATGAAACTTCAGTAGCAGCTGAGTAAAAGATTGGGAAGGGAAAACAGCCAACGAAGGGTGAATGACTGGAACTTAATCCCCTGGGGAAATTCTGGGAAAGCACTTGCCTCAGAGTTAACCCAGCCACGGAAGGAGGGAGTTGGGCAATTGTACATCAATTCCCATTGGTTGAAGGCTGCTGCCTGACACGTGAACTCTTCGGCCCTTCTAGTCTGCTGTGAGTCGGGCAGAGTGGCCCTTCTTGGCTTTGAGGAAGCCTTCAGGAATGATGCAAATGTCCAGCCAGTGTGCACTACAGTGGTAAGGCCCAAGGAACATGGCAGGTATTAGTAGCATCAGCCATACCAGGTCTATTTCTAGTTGGAGAACCCTTAGATGACTGGAGCCTGTGATCTCTTACATCTGTAATATCTGTGATCAGAATGGAAGAATTTTCTATTGTCTTTTCCTTTTCAATTTTGCCCAAGCCTTCATAAAGTCTTGTTAAAACTTTGACAACAGTCTTATTTTTACATTCCTTTAATCAAGAAGGACAGGCCTATGTCCAAATATAGGAGGATGTATTAGTTTGCTAGGGCTACCATAAGAAATACCACAGACTGAATGGCTTAAACAACATAAACTTATTGCCGCCTGGCTCTGGAGTCTAGAAATGTGAGATCAAGGTGTCAGCAGGGTTGGTTTCTTCCGAGGTCTCTGTCCTTGGCTGGCAGATGGTTGTCTTTTCCCTGCATCTTCCTATGGACTGCCCCCTGTGTATGTATGTCCTAATCTCTTTTTATATGGATACTAGCTATATTAGGACCTACTTTCATAACCTCATTTTCACTTAATTATCTTTTTAAAGACTCTAACTCCAAAAAAAATTCACGTTCTGAGGTACTGGGTTTATTCAACATTATGAACTTATAGGGGGACACAGTTCAGCCCAAAAAGAGGAAAATGGGGCAAAGGGAAAATCCTTCTTCTCCATCTTCTTTCCTGTTCTCTCTCAAAGGCCAAGGTGAGTGAGAGCAACATTGGATCATGGGATCTTGGTTGCCCTGCAACTCAAGAGATATTTGGCTTCAACGTTAGCAGTGAGCAACAGCAGAGCTGAGAACAGTGGTATAGAACTGAGTCACACTGAGTCAGGCTACATTTCCCAGGCTAATTTGCAAACCAGAATTCCAGATATAATTTTTATTCACTCAAACTTTCCACTCATGAACTTCTTAAATGTATTTTGAAAAACTATGCACATCCTCATACATGTTTTTTAAATTTAACTTTTTATTTTGAGGTAATTAGAGAGTGACATGCAGTTGTAAGAAATAATACAGACAGAACCTTTTACCCTTTAATCCAGTTTCCCTGATGGTAACATCTTATAACACTTCAGTACAGTATTGCAATCAGGATATTGACATTTGTGTCAATGTCAATATTACAGTCAAGACAGTATTTTTGTCACTCCAAGTATCCCTTATCTTGCCCTTTTATGGTCGGTTCACCTCCTTCCCACCCCCATCACTTCCTTAACCACTGGCAACTATGAATTTTTTCTCTATTTCTGTACTTTTGTCATTTCAAGCTTCTTAATACAAAATGTTATACAAATGGATTGTGCTTTTTTTTTCTTTTCAATAAAGTTTATTTTATTTATTTATTTATTTTTTTTGAGATAGAGTCTCACTCTGTCACCCAGGCTGGAGTGCAGTGGCACCATCTCAGCTCACTGCAACCTCCACCTCCAAGGTTCGAGTGATGTTCATGAGTCAGCCTCCCGAGTAGCTGGGATTACAAGCATGTGCCGTCTTGCTTAGCTAATTTTTGTATTTTTAGTAGAGACGGGTTTCACCATGTTGGCCAGCTGGTCTCGAACTCCTGACCTCAATGATCTGCCTGCCTCGGCCTCCCAAAGTGCTGGGATTACAGGCGTGAGCCACCACGCCCAGCCTGGATTATGCTTTTGATGTCAAGCCTACGAATTCTTTGCCTGGCCCTACATCTCAAAGATTTTCTCCTATTTTTCTAAAATTTTAATAGTTTTACACTTCACATTTACTCTGTAATCCATCTTTTTTGTTTCTTTATCTATTTTTAGAGATGGGGTCTTGCTCTGTTGCTCAGGCTGGAGTGAAGTGACGTGATCACAGCTCACTGCAGTATGTAACCTTTTGGGACTGGCATTTTTCACTCAGTATAACTCTCTGGAGATTCATCCAGGTTGTTGTGTGTATCAGTCATTCTTTTTTATTGCTGAGTATTATTTCATGGTATAAGTGTACAATAGTTGGTTTAACCATTTACCTGTTAAAGGATATCTGGGTTATCTTTGGCTACAATGAGTAGGCAGTTAGACAAACATTTGCATACAAGGTTTTGTGTGAAGGCATTGTCTGTGCTTGTGTATTTGTGTATGCAAGTTTTCATTTCTTGGGGCTAAATACCCAGGAGTACAGTTGCTGGGCAGGATGGTAGTAGTATGCTTAGTTGTTGGATTTTTGTTGTTGTTGTTGGTTTTGTTTTGTTTTTAAGAAACTGCCAAATCATCTTCCAGAGTGGCTGTACCATTTTATATTCCCATCAGAAATTATGAGAGATCCAGTATCTCTTCTTCCTTGCCAGCATTTAGCATTGTCGCCTTTTTTTTTTTTTTTGAGAAAGAGTTTCACTCTTGTTGCCCAGGCTAGGTACAATGGTGCGATCTCTGCTCACCGCAACCTCTGTCTCCCGGGTTCAAGTGATTCTCCTGCCTCAGTCTCCCGAGTAGCTGGGACTACAAGCATGTGCCACCACACCTGGCTACTTTTGTATTTTCAGTAGAGACAGGGTTTCTTCATGTTGGCCAGGCTGGTCTCAAACTCCCGACCTCAGGTCATCTGCCCACCTTGGCCTCACAAAGTGCTGGGATTACAGGTGTGAGCCACCGCACCCAGCCCATTGTCACTATTTTTATTTTAGCCATCCTGATAGGTGTGGAGCGATGATCTCATTGTGGTTTTAATTTGCATTTCCCTAATGGCTAATGATGTTGAACAACTTTTCATGTGCTAATTTGCCATTTTTATATCCTCCTTAGTGAAATATTACCTTAAGTCTTTTGCCTATTTTCTAATTGGATTTTTAATGTGTTTTCTTTGTTGAGTTTTGAGAGTTCTTTATATACTCTAGATACTAGTCCTTTGTTCAATGCATAGTTTGCAAATATTTTCTCCTACTGTGTAGCTCATTTTTTCATCCACTTACCAGATCTTCACAAAGCAACAGTTTTACATTTTGATGAAATCCAATTTATCAGTTTTTCCTTTCATAGATCATGCTCTCAATGTCAAGCCTAAGAATTCTTCGCCTAGACCTATATCTCAAATATTTTCTATTTTTCTAAAATTTAAGAGTTTTATGCTTTACATTTACTCCATAATCCATTTTGTTTATTTATTTTAATTAATTGTATCTGGTAAAGGTTAAGGTATTGCATTTCTCTGACATTTTTTTTTTTTTTTGAAACAGAGTCTTGCTCAGTCACCCAGGCTAGAGTACAGTGGTGTGTCACAGCTTATGACAGCCTCGAACTCCTGGGCTCAAGCAATCCTTCTGCCTCAGCATCCCAAGTAGCTGGGACTACAGGCAGGAGCCACCACACCAACATTATTTTTCATTTTTGTGTATAGACAGGGTCTTGCTATCTTACCCAGGCTGGTCTTGAACTCCTGGACTCAAGCAATCCAATCCAGTTGGAATTAAATTTTGCATAAGGCGTGAGACTTAGGTCAAGTTTCATTTTTATTTTATTATCTTGCCTATGGATGCCCAATTGTTCCATTTCACCATTGTTCAATTCACTATTTGTGAAAAAGGCTATTTTTCTTCCACTGACTTCCTTTTGCACCTCTTTCAAAAATCATTTGGGCAGATTGTGTGGGTCTTTTTCTACGTTCTCTATTTTGTTCCACTGATTTGTGTGTCCATTCCTCTGCTAGTAACACACAGTCTTGATTACTGTAGCTATAAAACAATACTTGAAATAGGGCAGACTGATTTTCAACTCACTTTATTCTTCTTTTTCAAGAATGTTTTAGGCGTCGGCGTCGCTCCCGCCCTGGAGCTCTAGGCCCGCTTTTCCCCGCTTGAGTCTGGCGTCGGGGTCATTGTGTCTTGACAACCGCTCCGGTACCCCTTTCCGAGGCAGCAGGTGCGGCCGCTTTAGCCTTGAGCGGGCTCCGCGTCTGCCTGCTGGTCTCTGCTAGTGCCGACCCTTCTGTTCGCGGACCCCACGCCAAGCAGCGACCCTGAGCCGACAGGCGGAGCACCCGGCAATGGCGGCCTCCACGGCCTCGCAACGGCCCCTCAAGGGGATCCTGAAGGACAACACCTCTACGACTTCCTCTATGGTGGCGTCGGCCGAACATCCCCGTGGGAGTGTCCACGAGCAGCTGAGCAAAAAATCCCAGAAGTGGGATGAAATGAACATCCTGGCGACATATCGTCCAGCAGACAAAGACTATGGTTTAATGAAAATAGATGAACCAAGCACTCCTTACCATAGTACGATGGGTGATGATGAAGATGCATGTAGTGATACAGAAACCACTGAAGCTATGGCAACAGATAGCTTGGCTAAGAACTTAGCTGCTGCTGAAGGCTTGGAGCCAAAGTATCAGGTTCAGGAACAAGAAAGCAGTGGAGAGGAGGATAGTGACCTCTCACCTGAAGAACGAGAAAAAAAGCGACAATTTGAAATGAGAAGGACGCTTCACTACAATGAAGGACTCAATATCAAACTAGCTAGACAATTAATTTCAAAAGACCTACACGATGATGACAAAGTTGAAGAAATGTTAGAGACTGCACATGGAGAAAGCATGAATACGGAAGAATCAAATCAAGGATCTACTGCAAGTGACCAACAGCAAAATAAATCACGAAGTTCATAGAAGGGATTTGTTCAACACTCTTATTGTTTGTTAGATATGAACCCCGTTGCTATAATACATTGCTTCTCGTTCTCCACAAGTCATGACTTAAGTACCAAAGTGCATACCAGTTATTATATATTGCCAAGAATTAAATGAAAACCTTAAAGACTGATTAGACTGAAAATGCCTAATTGATATATATATTCTTGTGCCTAGTACTTTACCACAAATACGGTGTAATATCATCAGTCCAAAACTGTATTACTTTTGTAAAAATACTGGTTAATTTGTATATTATATAGCTTTTCATGCTTTAGAGGTTAAACAATATCTTTGGGGGGGAACTAATTTATTTTCATCACTCTAAATGTGGTGATAGCTCTTATAAAGTTTGTTGACTTTTTTTTTTTTAACCAAAAGCCAGTTGAACAACAGGATATGTATGCTGATAAATATTCAGGCTGAATAGTATTTTAACACTTGTCTTCAACTTGATTTGTCTGTTTAATTGAAAAGGATTGTGACCTCGCGCGGTGGCTCACGCCTGTAATCCCAGCACTTTGGGAGGCCGAGGCAGGTGGATCACGAGGTCAGGAGATCGAGACCATCCTGACTACCACGGTGAAACCCCGTCTCTACTAAAAAAAATACAAAAAACTAGCCAGGCATGGTGGCGGGCGCCTGTAGTTCCAGCTACTCGGGAGGCTGAGGAGGGAGAATGGCGTGAACCCGGGAGGCGGAGCTTGCAGTGAGCCGAGATTGTGCCACTGCACTCCAGCCTGGGCGACAGAGCGAGACTCCGTCTCAAAAAAAAAAAAAAAAAAAAAAAAAAAAAAAAAAAAAAAAGAAAAGGATTGTAAGAGTTACTGTTACATTTTCTGGCCTACTACCTTTAAAATTCCTGTTGCATTTCTTTGTATTTACAAGGAAAAGACTGAACTTTTTCTCATCAAAACTAGCTTTTTTCTCACAGGTTAAACTTGCACCAATGTCTGCTCTTTTTTTTTAATGTTTTTGGTACTCTGGGCAGACTTCAGTTTTTTAAAAAATAAAGATTCTAATGCAGCTATCTTGGCATTCCCTTTAAATACCTGTCTTAACCTCCTACTTTTATTTCCTACTCCTTTCCACACACATGCATACAATCCTTTACCTTTTAAAGAATCATTAAGACTGTCACACATTAGGAACTCTTTCGCTCACTCTTCTGTCATTTGCTGCAATATTGAAATTCTTATTTTGACCATCAATGCCTATTAATTCTTCTAATACATGAAGAAAATGATTGAGTAGCAGCAGTACTATAGGTGGGAAATACAGTTTAACTGCTGAATTTTTATACCTCTCTGATTTATAGCTTGCTAATTAAATTGCTATTAATAGTTTGTTTGGCTTAATTAGACTTAAGAAAACAACAGGTTTTTTTTTTTTGAGGTTTTTTTTTTTTTTTTTGCATGAGGAGAGAATTGTATGTAACCAGTGATATGATTATTCCTGAATGTACAGACAGAAGTAAGCCTGGACATTGTTTAATTTAAAAACTTTAGTCCCTGCTTTAAGGGAATATGATAATGTATACTATGACAAATGTACTTTATTCTTCTAACACAGTAAGAATTACTTGGAACTTTTTCCTGAAACTAAGTGCAGGAAAGCCCTGTGTGTCTTGGTTTAGTGATGGTTTCATTTCTAGCCATACAACTGATGGATTGTATACAATTTTTGTTAGTGCCAAAATAATCTGTTATATGAACAGACTTCTAAAATAATTTCTGTATATTATATATGTAAGAAGGCTTTTATTGAACAGCTTATTTTCCACTTGCAAGTTTATGGAAATATCAATATGTCAAAATAAAAAGTGGGACAATTCTTTGCTGTTAGAAGAATGTGCTTATTATTTTGATTTCTTAAATGGTACATAATCAAAGTACTGCTGAACTATAGGTGCAGTATTCTACTAAACATTTCAGCTAGTAATACCACTGATTTAGAAACAAAACTGTTTATTTTTGCTTTCTGAATTTAGAATGCTGGGATTACCTGTTTAAATATGTTTTAGGGAATATAGAGATTAAATCTGTACATACCTGTGCACATATATTCATGCACCCTCTGATTTTGGTTTTCTCGTTTTTGAGTTCTTAGAAAGTATCCACATACTCTTCTTTTAGTAGAAGTAGCTGTTTTAGAGAGAAGAAAAGGATGAGACTTTAAATAGTTGATTCTTTTTGTGTTTTCTACAAACTTTTTTGAATTTTAAATCACAAGCAAACTAATTTTCTGGTTTTTAGAAAGTAGATGATGATTTCAGAGGAGTAAGACATGCCAAACAGCGTGCTCGGTAGGATTTTAGGTAGTCAAATGCAGCTGAGAAAAAGTATTTTCAAGTCATAAGTTGCTAATTGATATGCTATGAACTAGTCAAAATAGGAACCATATGATTCATGTTAGATTTTCCTCTAGAGATGGATCTGAATGTTCAGTTCCAGCCAAGGTAGATTTTACTTTCAACTTTTTAATCAATATCACTTTCTGTGCTTAATCTCTTTGGTGTTACCTTGTCCATTTTCATTTGTCTAAAATTCTGCAGGGATGACTACAATTTGGCATAATGGTATAAATGAATTGTTAAGGGTAACTTTAAGTTGAAGATTAAAGCAAGATGCCATTTTCCCCATGTCTTTCATTTTGTTTACATTTTTTCCCTTTAAGTTAGTATACACTACACATACTACAATAAAATATAATAATATGAAAAAAGAATATTTTAGATATTCTAGTCCCTTTGCCTTTCCATGTAAATTTTAGAGTAATCCTACCTATAATTAACAAATCTTGCAAAGATTTTGATTGGAATTGTGTTAAACTTGTATATTGGTTTGGGGAGAATTGACATATTTACTATATTGAATCTTCCAATCCATGAACAGTATTTCTCTCCACATAGATAGAGACTGAATAGATCTTCTTTGATATCGTTCACCAGCATTACATAGTTTTTAGCTTGCAAGTCTTGCATGTTTTGTTAGATTTACACATAAGTGTTTCATGTATTTGAGTAATTGTAAATAATATATTTATATTTTTGGGCCAGGCGCGGTGGCTCACGCCTGTAATCCCAGCACTTTGGGAGGCCAAGGTGGGCGGATCACAAGGTCAGGAGATCGAGACCATCCTGGCTAACACGGTGAAACCCCGTCTCTACTAAAAATACAAAAAATTAGCCGGGCATGGTGGTAGGCGTCTGTAGTCCCAGCTACTCCGGAGGCAGGAGAATGGCGTGAACCCCGGAGGCGGAGCTTGTGGTGAGCCGAGATCGTGCCACTGCACTCCAGCCTGGGCGACAGAGTGAGACTCCGTCTCAAAAAAAAAAAAAAAAAAAGAAAAAAAAAAAATATATATATATGTATCATTTGTTCATTGTGAGTATGTAGAAATACAATTGATACTGGTTTATCCTGTATTCTGTTAATTTGCTGAAATCACATATCTAGAAGTTTTTCTGTAGCTTCCTTGTGATTTTCTACATAGACAATCATGTCACTTACAAATGGGAGCTGTTTATTTCTTACTTCACAATCTGTATGCCTTTAATCTCCTTTTTCATGCCTATTGCACTGTCTAGAACTTCCAACACTGTGAATAAGAGTGGTGAGAGTGGACATTCTTGCCTTGTTCCTGATTTTAGGTAGAAACTATTCAGTCTTTCAGAATCAAGTATGTTCACCATAGGATTTTTGTAGACGATCTTTATCAAGTAAAGAAAGATCTCCTCTACTCCTATATTTCTGAGATTAAAAAAAAATAATGAATGGGTGTTAAAGTGGGTTAAATACTTTTTCTTCATCAATTGATATGAACAAGTAAATTTTCCTCTTCAGCCTATAATATGATGGATTACATTAATTAATTGTGAATATCCAACCAGCTTTGCATCCCTGGGATAACTCTCACGTGGTCATTGTATATAATTCTTTTTATATGTTGGTAAATTCCACTTGCTAATATTTTGTTAAAGATTGCTGCATCATGAGGAATATTAGTCTACAGTTTTCTTTTCTTCCCATTGTCATTGTTTGGTTTTGGTATTGAGGTAATTCTAGCTTTATAAAATAAACTGGGAAATGCTTCCTCTGCTTCTATTTTCTGGAAGAGATTAATTGGTGTTAATTCTTCTTTAAATCTTTGGTAGAATTCTTCATTGAAACTATTTGTTCCTAAATATTTCCTTTTGTGAGTTTTTAAATTATGAATTCAATTTCCTCAATAGGTGTAGACATTTTTGAATTATTTTATATTTAGTGAGTTGTGGCACTTTATATTTTTTGAGAAAATGATCCATTTAATTTAAGTGTCAAATTTATGTGTGTAGAATTGTTCATAGTATTCTTTTGTTATCCTTTTGATGTCTGTAGAATCTTTGATGATATCCCATTTCATTTCTGATGTTGGTAGCTTCTATCTTCTGTCGTCTTTTTTTCTGAGTCTTGCTAGTGGTTTGCCAATTTTATTAATCTTTCAAAGAGCCAGCTCTTTGCTTCATTGATTTTTTTTTGCTTTTGTTTTTCTGTTTTCAGTTTCATTGTTCTGCTTGCTTTTTATTTTGTTATTCTTTTACTAGATTCTTGAGGTGAGAGTTTAGATTATTGGTTTGAGACTTTTCCTCTTTTCCAATGTATGCAGTTAGTGCTTTAAATTTACTTCTCAAATGCAAATCAAAACCACAATGAAATGCCATCTCACGCCAGTCAGAATGGTGATTATTAAAACTCAAGAAACAACAGATGCTGACAAGGTTGTGGAGAAATAGAAATGCTTTTACATTGTTGATGGAATGTAAATTAGTTCAACCATTGTGGAAGACAGTGTGGCAATTCCTCAAAGATCTAGAACCAGAAATACCATTTGACCCAGCAATCCCATTACTGAGTATATACCCAAAGGAATACAAATCATTCTATTATAAAGATACATGCACTTGTATGTTCATTGCAGTACTATTCACAATAGCAAAGACATGGAATCAACCCAACTGCCCATCAATGACAGACTGGATAAGGAAAATGTACATATGCACCATGGAATACTATACAGCCATAAAAAGGAATGAGATCCTGTTATTTGCAGAGACATGGATGAAGCTGGAAGCCATTATCCTCATCAAACTAATGCAGGAACAGAAAACCAAACACCACATGTTCTCACTTATAAGTGGGAGCTGAACAATGAGAACACAAGGACACAGGGAGGGGAAAAACACACACTGGGGTCTGTCTGGGGCGAGGTTGGAGGGAGGGAGAGCATCAGGAAAAATAGCTAATGCATGCTTGTCTTAATACCTAGGTGATGGGTTGATATGTGCAGCAAACCACCATGGCACATGTTTACCTATGTAACAAACCTGCACATCCTGTACATGTATCCTGGAACTTAAATTTACCTCTTATAACTACTATAACTGTATCCCACAAATTCTGATATGGCATATTTTCATTTTTGTTTAGTTGTGTTTATTGTGTGTATTTTTAAAAAATTTCCTTGAGACTTCCTCCTTGACCCATGTATTTCTAAGTGTGTTGTTTTGTCTCCAAATGTTTAGATATTTTCCTGTTGTTGATTTCTGGTTTGGTTCCATTGTGGTAGGAGAACACTTTCTTTATGATTTTATTTAAAAAATTTGTTGGTCTTTTATTGTCTTAGATATGGTCTATCTTGGCATATATTCTGTGGGCACTTAAAAAAATGTTATTCTGGCTGGGTGCAGTGGCTCATGCCTGCAATCCCAGCACTTTGGGAGGCTGAGGTGGGTGGATCACCTGAGGTCAGGAGTTTGAGACCAGCCTGATCAACATGGTGAAACCTCATCTATACAAAAAATAAATAAATAAATAAATAAATAAATAAATAAATAAAAAATTAGCCAGGCATGGTGGTGTGTGCCTGTAATCTCAGCTACTCAGGAGGCTGAGGCAGGAGAATTGCTTGAACCTGGGAGGCAGAGGTTGCAATGAGCCGAGATTGTGCCATTGTACTCCAGTGTGGGCAATAAGAGTGAAACTCCATCTCAAAAAAAAAAAAAAAAAAAGTGTATTCTGCCATGGAATACTATGCAGCCATAAAAATAATGAGATCACGTCTTTTGCAGGGACATGGATGGAGCTGGAGGCCATTATCCTTAGCAAACTATTGCAGGTACAGAAAACCAAATACTGCATGTTCTCATAAGTGGGGGCTAAATGATGGACACATGGACACAAAGAGGAAAAACACATACTGGGGCCTATTGGAGGGTGGAGGTTGGGAGGAGGCAGAGGGTCAGGAAAAATAACTAATGGGTACTAGACTTAATTCCTGGATGATGAAATAATCTGTACAACAAACCTCCATGACACTGTTTACCTATGTAACAGACCTGCACATGTACCCCTGAACTTAAAATAAAAGGAAAAAAAAGAAAAAAGAAAAAGGAAAATCTCGTGGAATCTACTAAAAGCAACGAAAAAGAAAATAATGTATCTTCTGTTGTTGGGTGGTGTGTTCTATAAATGTTGATTAGATCTTATGGTTTGATGTTGTTTATTCTTCTATGTTTTTTCTCAATTTTTGTCTATTTGTTTAATCAATTGTTGAGAGAAAACTATTGAAGTCTTCAACTATCATTGTTGACTTGCCTATTTTCTTTTCAGTTCTATCAGTTTTTGCTTTACATAATTTGCAGCCCTGTTGTTTGGTGCATACATATTTAAGATTGCTATGTCTTTTTGGTAGATTTACCCTTTTATTATTACATAGTGTTCCTATCCATTTCTAGTAATTTTCTTTGTTCTAAGTTTATTTGATATTAATATAGCCTCCCTTTATTATTTTTTGTCTGATATATGTTTTTCTATCCTTTAACTTATAAACCGCCTATATCATTATATTTGAAGTGAGTTTATCATAAACAGCAAATAATTGAGTCTTTTTTTTTTTTTTTTTGAGACGGAGTCTCGCTCTGTTGCCCAGGCTGGAGTGCAGCGGTGTGAAGTGGTGTGATCTCAGCTCACTGCAACCTCCACCTCCCGGGTTCAAGAGATTCTCCTGCTTCAGCCTCCCGAGTAGCTGGGGCTACAGGCTTGTGCCACCACAGCTGGCTAATTTTTGTACCTTTAGTAAAGATGGAGTTTCACCATGTTAGCCAGGATGGTCATCTCCTGACCTTGTGATCCACCTGCCTTGGCCTCCCAAAGTGTTGGGATTACAGGCGTGAGCCACCGCACCTGACAGAGTCATATTTTTAAATCTATTCTGCCAAGCTCTGTCTCTTAAAATTGATGTATTTAGGCGATTTATATTTCCTATAATATTGTTATGTCCAGGCTTAAGTCTGACATTTTATTTTCTGTTTTCTGTTTGTTCTCTCTGTTTTTCATTTCTTTGTTTTCTTTTTCATTGCTTCCTAAATAATTTTAAAATTCCATTTTAATTTATCTATAGCTGTGTGTGTGTATGTGTGTGTACCTCTTTGGATAGCTCTTTTAGTGGTTGTTCTAGGTATTACATTATATTTATGTAACTTATTTATTGTCATTAATTACCAGTCTGAGTGATGTGTAGAAATTTCTTCTCTCTTTGTTTACCCTCCCTCATTTATAATTGCCTGTAATATTTTCTCTATATACATTTATAACCATATGATACAGTATTATACGTTTTTCTTCAATCCTATAATTTAAATAACTCAAGAGAAGAAGTAAAGTCCATTTTTTAACCCATATTTTTTCTTGCCATGTTCTTTCTTCCTTCCTGATGTTCCAACTGTCCTCAATTTAACTTTTTGTTTTTTTAGGGTAGACCTGTTAGTGACAAATTCTGTTAGTTTTCCCTCATCTCTGTATGTCTTAATTTCCCTGGATATTTTTGCTGATATAGTGTTCTAAGTTGATATTTTTTTTTCCTTTCAGCACTGGAAAAAGGTGGTGACCTCCTTCGGGCTTACACAGTTTCTGATGAAAATTTTGCTCTGTCATTTTTTTCACCTGTTAGATGTCATTTATCTCACTGCTTTCAAGATTCTTTTTATCTTTAATTTTTAGTTAATTACTATGATTTTGGTGTGGCTTTCTTTGGGTTTGTCCTATTTGGGGTTCACTCACCTTCTTAAATCACTAGGTTTATGTCTTCTGCCAAATTTGGGAAGTTTTCAACCATATTTATTTGATAATTTTTTTCAGCTTCACTCTCTTTTTCCTCTCATTTTGGGACTCTGAGTACATGAACATTAAATCTTTTGTTATAGCCCCATGGGTCCCTGAGGCTTTGTCCATTTTTTCCAGTGTATTTTCTTTCTTTCTTTTGTTCAGATTAAGTGATTGCTATTGCTGTGTCTTCAAGGTAGCTAATTCTTTCCTCTGTTCTCTCCTTCTGCTGCTGAGCTTATTTACTGGGCTTTTTATTTTGGCTATTGCACTTTTCAGTTCTAAAATTTCCACGTTTTCTTCCGTATATATCCTATTTTTATGCTGAAACATCCTATTTTTTTCTTTTCTGCTCTTTTCTTCTTCTTTCTTTTTTTAAACCACTGAACTGGACATCCTATTTTTTTCATTCTTTTAAGTGTTAATTGCTCATCAAAGCATTTTAATAATGGTGGCTTTAAAATCTTCATCAGGCTTTTCTTTCCGTTTTGGCATCTATTTTATTGTCTTTTAAAAATTCAATTTGAGATATTCCTGGTTCCTGATATGACAAATAATTTCCAATTGAAACTTGGACATTTCAGGCATTATGTTATAAGGCTATTGGTCTTATTTAAACTGTTTTAGCTGGCTTCTTTTAACACCTCTCCAGCAGGTAGGCAGGTGAGCTTCATGACGCCAGGTAGGGGTAGGAGTCCAGGCTTCTCACTCTGCCTTCATTGACACCTCAGATAGGTCCCCATTATTACTGAGTGGGGACAGAAATTCTGGCTCCCTATTAGGTGCCCACTAATACCTCCCTGGTTGGTTGGGAGAGGAGTGCCACTTACTATCCCTCACATGACCTTTATTGACACCAAGATGGGACAGTGGAGTGGAGGAGTGAGTGGTAGGTATCAGGGAGTGGTTGCTGGATTAACTCTGGGTGGTGATGAAAATCCTGACTCTCCATTAGGCATTGTCTGACATCACCCTAGAGGAGAGGGGAAGAGATGCTTCATTACTGTTGGGTGAGGAATGGAAGTCTAGGTTTCCATTGACATTTCAGGGGCTTGGGGAAAGGAGTACATTTTCACCAAGAGGGCATGACCATCCTGACTCCCTATTCACTTTCTCTGACACCATCCTGGTGTGTGTGCATGTGTGTGTTGAAGTGTTGGGTTCCTTATGACAGCCTGGTGAGGGTGAAAGTCTAGGCTCCTCATTTGACCTTAGCTGGTGGGGGTGGAGTCGCAGTTTTTTCTGTGGTGTTTGGCTGGCCCCATTACCCAAGATGGAGTGTAGTGGTGCGATCATAGCTCACTGTAACCTCGAACTCCTGGGCTCAAGTGATCCTCCTGCCTCAGCCTTCAGAGTATCTAGGACTATGACACATCGAACTATGCCTGACTAATTTTATTATTATTATTCATAGAGACAGGGTCTCATTATGTTGCCCAGGGCTGGTCTTGAACTCCTGGCCTCAAGCGATCCTCCTGCCTGGCCTCCTTCCCAAAATTACTTTAAATGATATAATAGCTGACAGCTTGAATAGGTCCTCTTTATTTTGTTGGAGGCAGAGTGTTAGAAGTGACCTAACAAAAAGGATTTGTTTCTTGTCACTAGACTCATTCACTGTGTCAATGAGTGTGTCAGTGGTTTGTGGGAAGCAAACTTAAATGAAAATGTATATTTTTAATTAAATGTTATGAGATGCTTTTTTTAAACTATTGGCTCTTGTGAATTTCAGAAAAATATTGCAAGTCATTTGACTTAGCTACTTAGCTTGCACTCTATGTAAAAATTTTAGAATTTTACCTCTTTGAAAAACTCCTAATATCAATAGTGATATTGTTGTTTTGCAGCCTCAAATGATTTTGTTACTTTGGACTAATTTTCACTGAGCTAGTTAATAAGTGACTTTTTATTGTCTAAAAAATTCTTAAGTGTATCATAGAGAGAAAGATTATTGGGTCACTAAGTGGCTTTCTATATATATACCTTTGTCCATATTTAATTTTTGCAAAACTCAAATTAAGGTGGTAAACTTAGTGTGGATATACATTCATGTATTGTATTGATAAGATTAACTACGTTTTAAAACTAAAGTGGAAAGTTTTAAACAAAATTGTCATTCAACTATATATGTATTTCTGTAAAACACACACGTAATGATGAATTCGAATTAATAAGCAAAAAAGGAGAGGATTTGTAATTTAAAATTGATCTTGGAATATACACTCTACACTTAAGACAGAGAAAAAACTTTTTCTTTCCCTTTAGCATAATCTGCCCAGCTAGCGGTGGTTTCTTATCAGAATGCTCTCACTTAATACCTTGATAACTTTTAGTGCTTTGTGCTGATAGCATCAAGTTTTTAAATTATTTTAAAAACAAACAACAACAAAAAACCATTTGCTTCTGAAACACCTAAAGTTTCTTATAATTGTTACCTTCTTTATGTTTATTTTCAAATGTTTTATTGTCACTCTGGTTATTGAGATATCAAAGTTATAACAATTGCTCACTCTCAGGTACCTATGCACTTAAGTGACCAGTTTCTCTGAAAATTCTTTTTTGTTGTTGCCTTCTTCCAACCTCATACCCTGAATTCAGAATACTAACACTGTCAAGCTATTTTTCACGCCCCCAAATCTTTGTTTTTTCTCACTAGACAGCCACTACCCATTTGGCCACTAGGTGGCGCAAAAGGCTTAATTTTTCACCTTCCTCCGCCTACTGTGAAGGAAGCTAAAAGTAATTAGATGTGTTTGGCATGATTTTTATATTTTAAATTAACGCTGTACTATCAAAAGAACTACCTGTGTCTCAAACCCACAATGTGGTAAAAGCTGACAAATAAAAAACAGTAGCTCAATTTTCTAGATTAATTTTGTCCAGGTTAAAAATATTATTGATATATGTTTTAGTGACCACATAGGTTTCAGTAAGGGTAAAAGGATGCTCTTGTTCGTACTCCAAGTCTGGCATGGTGACTGTCAATACATTCATTTTGAAGAAGATTTTGCTTCTGGGTTTAGCCCTAAAACAGGCCAAATAGAGACGATAAAATGAGTGGAACTGAATTAGAGCATTTCTGAAAAGTTTTATTTGGTTAATTCTGCCCCTTAAGGTCAGAAATTGTGTAGGAAAAGTGTTTCAAAATTATAAATAAGGCAAAATTGTACGTGCTTGATTATTTTATATCACACTTGAACCTTTGCTCATAATTCTGCCTGATCAAAACCAGAGTGTTTCAGGGATTGTAATTTGCCTAAGACGAACCCGGCCAGCCCTGTGCGATTAGAGGTTAATCAGCAGAGAGCTGATAAGGGATGCTGGCTTTCTCTTTTTCTCCGGTAAAGAAGATAACACCAAGGTTATGATTTTATTGCCCTCTAGCACGTTAGCCATTTTGAATCTCTAGCCTAGAAATTATTTCCTCACAGAGAGATACAGCTCTGTTTTTCAAATACTCTTTGGATCAAGGCTCTTGTATTCTTGCTGGTTCCCTCTTTGAGTTTGATAAAACTTTGAAAAGTCTACCAAAGAAATTTCTCTCAGAACTAGACTTTAGAGAGGAAATGCTGGAACTACGGATGAGAGGCACATGTATGTACAGGGTCAGACCACGCAGAGAGCAGGTCTGATGAGCCACACCACTGCTGCTGCCCCATGGCTTCTAGACGCTGCTGTTGGTTCTGTTGTTAGGACCTGGAGGTTGCTGCAGCCACCACTGAAGACACCTCCTAAACCACTTCTGTTTCAGGAACTTCACTTAAAAAAAAAAAAAAAAAAGGAAAAAACCCACCGCTTCCCCAAAAGACAGTTGCTTCTTCTGTCACCTTTGCCAGAGAAATAAATACAGTAAAAGGTGCTCTGCAACCCCCACACCCTGGTTCCTCCTGTGGCCCCTTTGTAACTGAAGTCTTAGGTGGATGAATTTAATTGGTGGAACTTAGGTGCTCTAGCTTCAAAGAAGGCTAGGGGAAGTGAGCTTTCTGGTTTCCACTTTAGGGAGGCAGGACTCAAAAGGTAGGGGAAATTTCACAGTACTCTAAAGGTGTTCAAATCCCATGGGCAGCCAGTAAACATCACAGGTGTGAGGTGCTGGGTGGAGTGGCTGCCGTGAATATGTGTTTTGGTTCATGGACTACATCAGTGGCTCTTAAAGTCCAGTAATTCACAGATTCATGAGAGATAATAAAATGATTATTTTTGTTTTAAGCCATTAAGTTTGGAGTTGGTGTGCTGCCCAGCAATAGATAATGGAAACATACAGTATGTATTTCTGCAAGTCTGGCTTCTTCACTTAATATTGTTTCTATGAGATTCGTCCATGTTGTTACATTTTCAGTAGTTGATGAAGTTTCATTGTTTACATAGTACTGTGTTGCACGAATAGACTACGTTTTGTTTATCCATTTACTGTTGAAGAACCATTTTGTTAAACAATTTGAGAGTAATCTGTGGAAATTATGCCACTTGACCCCTAAATATTTTGTCATGTATAATTTAAGAATAAGGACATTTCTCCTGCAAAACCCTAATACTGTCATCACCCCCAAGATACTTAAAATTGATACCATATTATCAAACACACAATCCATATTAAAAAATCCCCTATTGTCCCAGTAACACCTTATAGTAAATGTCTGTTATTTTAAGCGGGTGTCATTCATTACATGGCAATAGGTAACTAATACGGTGAGTCTGCTTCTTCCAGCAAGGACCCTCAGGGGGTGCGGTGATTCATAGTTCTCACTCAGACTTCTCTGTGTCTGCTCATATGTCCCTATTTCATATCTCAGGGTCCGGTCTATCCCAACCAGGGGTCTTGCCTTATCACAACAGCTGCTGTTGGATGATGCAACAAACATTTCTACAACTTCATAACCTTTATCATAAGCCCCCGGGCTTGACCCTCAGCCATATCTGTGCTGGGTTGCAGGAGAAAAGATAGCCTTTAAAACTGCTATAGAGGCATTTACAGTTTTTCATTCATGTCTTGAGTTTGGATTAAAGGCTTTTAATTTGTCTTTTTTTCCTTTGTATGCTCTTGAGGGCAGTCTGACGCAGCCAGTCTCTGAAGGTTGGCACAAAAGCCTCCATCGAGTCACCCAGCTTTTGCCTGGTACCTATCCTAACCTAAAACCTTGCCACATGTTACCTTGGCGAAAGGCCAGTGCCACACTTCAGTGATGATTCGGCTGTCCTACTTGGTTAGAACCGAGTTCACTTCCTTCCTCAACACTCCTGCCACATTGATCTGGAAGTTTCACCTTGAGCCAAGTGATAGTTAATTTTATGTGTTAACTTGGCTAGGCTATGGTTTCTAGACATTTGAATACCAGTCTAGATATTGCAGTGAAGGTATTTTTTAGATGAGATTTACATTTAAATCAATAGATTTTGGGTAAAGCAGATTACCCTCCATAATGTAAGTGGCCCTTCCAATCAGTTGAAGGTCTTAGGGGCAAAGACTGAGGTCCTCCAAGGAAGAGGGAATTCTGCCTCTGGACCACCTTCAGACTCAAGCCGCAACATCAGCTCTTCCTGGGTCTCCAGCCTACCTGCAGATTTCGACCGTGCCAGCTCCCACAGTAGTATGAGCCAATTACTTAAAATAAATCTCTCTCTGCCAACATCCTATTGGTTCTGCTTCTCTGGAGAATCCCGACTCATACAAGCCACTTTCTATAGAAGGCTGTTTCTTCGAGAAATCCACCCTCTTCTATGTCAACAGAGTTTAGAATCTCCATACTTTATCTCTTCATTTTTGAGAACATAAATTCTGTATTACACATACTTATACTATACTATATATGAAACTTTCATAAACATTGCTGGGCAAAGTTGAATATTGCTGAACCAATTTCCGATGCTTCTGAATAAGTTCAATGGAGTTAAAACATTTTTCTTCTTACATGGTATGTCCAGTGCCCCAGAGCCAGCAGAGTTAAGAACTTGGTAAGGAAGACCAAAGATAATCCATATATTCTAGTTTGTTATATAATATAAAACATGTTTATTAGATTCTAAAAGACATAAAAAGAAAATAATACATATGTATCAGTGAGAGAGGTGCAAATTAGGAAGAGAACTAAGGATTATTCTTAATTCCTGCCTTCCTTTCTAAATCCCAATCCTCAATTGAACTCTTTAATTATATTTCCTGTTTATTTTATTGAATGGAAAAAATGGAAAATTATCTAACATTTGTCATGGAAATATAGGAGAAATTACTCTCAGAGATATGATGTTATTTAAGTCATTGACATATTGTTAACCTCAGATGCAAATGGTGGAATTAATAATATTCCTCAGTTCATGGTACATAGTCACTGTTGGTCTAGTGCTAGTTTGTAGTTGTATTTGTATTTTTTATTTTTTAGAAATACGGTCTTCCTTTGTCACCCAGGCTGGAGTGCAGTGGTGTGATCACAGCTCACAGTAAGCTCAAACTCCTGGGCTCAAGCAATCTTCCTGCCTTGGCCTCCCAAGTAGGTAGGACTACAGGTGCATGCCACCATGCCAGCTAATTAAAATGTTTTAAATTTATTTTTGGTAAATGGGGTCTTGTTATGTTGCCCATAGTTTTTAGTGCTATGATAAGCTAGTAATTATAGTGAACATTCTTGTCTTGGATACCCAAGGTTTTTCCGTTATGTATACTAGTGGTTACAGATTTTTTGGATTATAACCTTTGCCAAAATAGGAAAGTTTTGATTCCTGCTTCCTTAACTGTTTTTCAAAAATCACAAATGGATATACTTTACCAAATGTCTTTTATTAATAGACTGAGCAAAGGAAATGACTTTTCTATGAATATGGTAAATTATAGCAACAATATGTTTTATTATATTGAACCACCCTAGTATTCCAAGGATTCCCTATTTGATCTTGATGTATCATTATTAGCATAATCATTATTATTATTGTTATTATTATACATATTTTTAGAGACAGGGCCTTGCTCTGTTGCACAGGCCGAAATGCAGTGGTGCAATCATAGCTTACTGCAGCCTCAAACTCCTGGGCTCAAATGATCTTCCTGCCTCAGCCTCCCTAGTAGCTGAGACTACAGGTGCTCACCATCACACCTGGCTAATTTTTTAATTTTTTGTAGAGACAGGATCTCACAGGATCTCAGTATGTTGACAATGCTGGTCTTGAACTCCTGGCCTCAGGCGATCCTCCCACCTCGGCCTCCCAGTATTATTATTTGTAATATTGTTGAATTCGGTTCATAAATAATTATTTTTTTCTCCCATCTGTGTTCAAGGTGAAATGGGTCTATTATTTTTTTTTCCTTGAGTTTTCCACAACTCAATTTGGAGTCAAGATTACACTCGGCTGATAAAATTAGCTAATCAGGTTTAGTTTTTTTCTGTTTTCTGGAAAAAGTATATAATATAGAAGTTTCATGTTCCTTGAATGTTTGATAGAACTCATCTGTGAAACCATCTGGGCATTTTCAAAAATATATTTTTTTATTAGATGCCATTGATAACTTTAAAAATTGCTTTAATACTCATTGGTATAGTCAAGTTTTGTATTTCTTTTTGTGCTAATTTTGATAGATTAAATGTTTCTAGGAATTTGCTTATCTCACCTAGGTTTTCAAATTTATTAGCATATACTTGTTCATAACACTCTATGCTTTATATCTGTGTCATATCTGTAGCTGTTCCCCCTTTTTCATTATGTATTTGTTTATTCATTTTTTCTCCCTTTATCCATAATCGGCCTTGTTGTAACTCTGAATATCTTACAAATATTTTTAAGTAAGCAGCTTTTGGAATCAAAAGTATGTTAATTTTCACTACCTAGTTTTTTGTTCTCTATTTCTGTTTCATTGCTTTCTATTCTTATCTTTATAACTCCTTTTCTTCGTATTTCTTTAGGTTTGCTCAACTTCTCTTTTTCCAAATTTTTGAGTAGAATTTCTAGGTCCTTTATTTTAACTTTTCTTGTTCTAATAAATGTATTTGAAATTATAATATTATTTTATATGTATATTTTATGTGTAACATTTTTAACACCTGGTTCTAAAAGAGTTAATTTTCTTTATAACTGCTGTTTATTTATTTGACACAGGGTCCCACTCTATTGCTGAGGCTGGAGTGCAGTGACGCAATCATGCCTCACTGCAGCCTCCATCTTCTGGACTCCAGCGATGCTCCCATCCACGACTGCCTTTTAAATCCATGTTACTGATAAATATATTTGTTCACTTACAATTTTAAGTATATTTTAGTTATCAAGTTCTAATTTTATTACAGTATGGTTGCAGAATATAGTTTCTTTCTTTCTTTTTCTTTTTTTTTTTTTTTTTTTAAGACAGTGTCTTACTCTGTTGCCCAGGCTGGAGGGCAGTGGCACAATCTCAGCTCACTGCAACCTCTGCCTCCTGGGTTCAAGCGATCCTCCCGTCTAGCCTTCTGACTAGTTGGGATTACAGGTGCACCCCATCCAGCTAAATTTTTTGTAGAGACGGGGTTTTGCCATGTTGCCCAGGCTGGTCTCAAACTCCTGGGCTCTAGGGATCTGCCCACCTTGACCTCCCAAAATGTTGGGATTACAGGCATGAGCCACTGCTCCTGGCCTAGAATATAGATAGTTTCTAAGATACCGATACTCTGGAATTTATTGGCGTTACCTTTATGGAATGATGCATGTCCTATTTGAGTAAATGTTCTGTGTGGCTTGAACTATTATATATAATTTTTGGTTTTCTGGCAACTTTTAAAAAATGAATTTTATGAATCTTGTACCTCATTTTATTTCCTTCTTTGCTTTCACTATCCTATGGCCTGGAGCCAATTATTTTTTATCCATTTATAGTTGGCTGATAAATATGTGTCCTGTTAAACCGGCTCTCTGAAGAAAAACAATGCTTCTGACTTGTAGCATTGCTGATTTCTATAGTATAAATACTTCCATAGTGGTCAATATCAAGTTACCAATAGTTAACAACTGTCTTCAAAAATCCTGAATACTTTGCAGTCTGCTCTTGCTAGCCAGTATAAGACAGCGCACCACTTTTTTTTTTTTTTAAGATATTCACGTTGTCCATTAGTTTCCATTAGTTTCACTCCTTGGCTTCACTTACTTTTCTTAACCATATTTTCTCTCTGACCCAGTGTTGTTTTCTTCTTTTAAAAATTGTTTTAAATTATCTCTGTAAGCTGCTACAAACCTTTTATTGGAATGAAGGGCATTAGAACAGTTATTTGGCCAATACAGAAAAATGAAGTCTTCTAATTTTTTTTTTTTTTTTTTTTTTGAGATGGAATTTCTCTCTTGTCGTCCAGGTGGAGTGCAATGGCGCAATCTTGGCTCACTGCCACCTTTGCCTCCCGGGTTCAAGCGATTCTCCCTGCCTCAGCCTCCCGAGTAGCTGGGATTACAGGCACCATGCCCAGCTAATTTTTGTATTTTAAGTAGAGATGAGGTTTCACCATGTTGGCCAGACTGGTCACGAACTCCTGACCTCAGGTGAACCACCCGCCTTGGCCTCCCAAAGTGCTGGAATTACAGGCACGAGCCACCGCGCCTGGCCGAAGTCTTCCAATTTTAAAAGATCTAATCTTCATTCAGTTCTCAAAGTCTTTGCTGTGCCCTTAAGGCATGTCACACGCATGTGCAGCTCAGGGGTAACCTGGTACTCCTGAGGGTTCAGACTCAGAATTAGGGAATTTCCGCCTGTACTCTCAGTTTGGAGATTCCCCTACACATTCCTGCCCGCAGGGGCCCTTTTTCTTCATTCCTCTGGCCAGAAAGCCGGTATTTCTCTTGTTAACTCAGGGCTTGTGCTACCACGCAGTGCAGCTCTGCACCTGAGGCCTGACGTCAGGGCAGAGCTGGGAGGAAAAAAGGGGAAAACATTGAAAACCCACTCCCCAGGAGGGGCCCCTCTCCCAGTTTTGACCCTCTTCACAATCCACCTGCTTTTGTTTACTTTTTGGAGTCCTTGAGTACTTGCTTTTTGTATACTGCCCAGAATTTCTACTTGTGATCAGTGGGAAAAATGGGCTATTTAAAATCTCAAATAAGTTAAATATCATGGCTAGAAACAACTCCAGGCATTTGTAATTTTAGATTTTTTTCTTTACACTCCAGGGGGATGTGATTGTTTTAGAGTTTTGAATTCGTATGTTTAGCCTGAGATCCTACTAGTATTTCTGTTGAATATGCCTGTTGACTGCCCACTTGTTAGCAAAATGGCATTGAATGTTGGAACTGTAAACTACCTTAGAAATCATTCAGCACCATCTTTTGACAGAAAAGGATATGAGAGTTCACTCCTGTCACTCAGGAAGTGCAAGGCAAAGATAGAAGCAGAATTAAATTTGTTTTAATACAGTTACTCAGCCATCTGGTAACAGTTTCCTAAGTGCCAACGAATGTATGGGGCTATTTATTGCAGATTTTAAGATGATATATGGGGATTGAGGGAATGAGAAGTTTTAGGGAGTGGTAGAGGAAGGGCATATAATAAGACTGAATCCCAGATCCCAGCCTCAGAACTTATTTTGTGACCTTGGTCAAGTGATTTAATCTTTCCAAACCTCTATGTGTCCTATAGAAGTAATAATAATACCTATATAGGGTTGGGTGTTTTTTTTGTTTGTTTTTTCTTTTTCTTTTCTTTTTTTTTTCTTAAGATAGGGTCTTTCTCTGTCACCCACGCTAGAGTGCAGTGGCGCAATCACAGCTCACTGTAGCCTCAAACTCCCAGGCCTAAGCGATCCTCCCACTCAGCCTCCCAGGCAGCTGGGACTACAGGCATGCACCACCGCACCCGACTAATTTTTAAATTTTTTTGTAGAGATGGGGTTCTCACTATGTTGCCCAGGCTGGTCACTAACTCCTGGGCTCAAGCAATCCTCCCGCCTTGACCTCCCAAAGTGCTGGGATTACAGGTGTGAATACAGGGGGTTTTTTGGTTTGAATTTTAAGAGATAAAATTTATAAAACATTTAGCCAATGCCACAAATGTAGCTTCTTTTGGTTATTGTCATTATTCTTTGAAATTCACAAGTGCCCCAAAATATTTAAGCATTTTTCATGTATTGCCCTTTAATATGAATGAATGCATTATGAAAGGAATTCTTTTACATGCGAGTTTGCTGATAGTCTTAGCTAATTCTCATGTGTGTAGGTGTCTTGCCTATCTGTCAGTCTTAGCCTTAAAGGAAAGAGTCCCATCACCTCACTTGCGGCCTCATCATCATGGACCGCATGATGATGCGGAATGAGAATTTTTATTGTTTGTACTACTTCAAAATCATTCAGTACGTGATCACCTGTCATGTATAGGGCTCTTTATATTTCTAGTTTAGTCCCTTTTGTTTTCTCTAGGAAAGATGTTTTAGACCTGGGACAAAAGAAGAAAGAGTGTATGCTGACATCTAGGAGGGAAGCACCCACCTCCCCTAAGCTCCATCTCCCTGAGCACTCATTTCCCAATGACCATACCAGGTTTTGGCCCTAGAGAGT
Organism: Homo sapiens; assembly: GCF_000001405.40. Classification (NCBI taxonomy): domain Eukaryota; kingdom Metazoa; phylum Chordata; class Mammalia; order Primates; family Hominidae; genus Homo; species Homo sapiens. Next base: position 4,278,922 of record NT_167246.2, on the reverse strand, counting down.
TTATTACAAAATAAGAAAGAGAAGTCTGGGGAAGGTTCACTCATCATAGAATTTTGGCAGTTCATTGCCCAAGATGACTCGATGGTCCACACCGGCAGCTGTAATAGTGACCAGGTAGATGACACCCCCGCTTGAGCCATCCCGGCTCATGGCCAGAGCAATAGCTGCAGAGGGTTTCAAGTTGGAGAGAGGGAGAGAGAGGATGGCTTAGCTTCAAAAATCTTTTTACTCCCCCTCCATCCATATGCCTACTACCACTTTCACCTCAAAACTCATCTTCCAGGAAGGCATATTTAGTGGTGTGCTGGTAAATCAGTTTTTTTACAAAAAGGCTTCCATATGTGGCATCTGCTGATGTCCGTGGTGTAAATGCTCCCGCTATGATGAATTGCAAGTTACAAATAGCTAAGCAGTTCACAAATCCTTGACTATTTAACAGTCCGCTCTCATGAGTGGTCCCAAGCCAGCCTCAGCACACCTCAGCACACCACTGGTTCTTTTTTTTTTTTTTTTTCTCCAGACAGGGTCTCTCTCTGTCACCTAGGCTGCAGCGCAGTGGTGCAATCACCGCTCACTACAGCCTTGATCTCCCCGGCTCAGATGATCTTTCCACCTCAGCCTCCTGAGTAGCTGGGACTACAGGTGTGCACCACTATGCCCAGTTCATTTTTTTTTTTACTTTTTTTTATTGTTTTTTGTGGAGACAGGGTTTCACCATCTTGCCTAGGCTGGCCTCAAACTCCTGGGCTCAAGTAATCCTCCTGCCTCAGCCTCCCAAATTGTTGGCATTACAGGTGTGAGCCACTGTGCTTAGCACACCACTGGTTCTCACAGTGACTGTGTATCCTCATTTGATTTACTCAGAACAGCCCTGGTTTATCCGTATTGCCCAAGAACCCCATTGAGCTTTGCATTTGTCCTGCCCCTTTTCACTCTTAAAAGTGTACCAGGCCCGGCATTAACTTAAATGGCCACCCCTGTATTTCTCTTCCTGTTCCTCATAATCTACTTCCTTCCCATGTTTCAAAGCCCTCCCCAGGTACCCTTCCACTTGGCTGGTTACCGTCTGTGGTGAAGCGCCTGCACTCCTCGGGAGACATGCCTGGCTTATATGCTGCATCCACATAACCATAGATAAAGGTGCTGCCGGAGCCACCAATGGCAAAAGGCTGTCGAGTCAGCATTCCTCCCAGGGTTCCATATACCTGGGAAAGGGATCCTCAGGTTAAAGAATCATCAAGCCCTTCCTTCCCACTGAGACATTAAGTGGTCTCTGCACCCTGCAATGAAGCCCTGGTATCTCATATCCCCAAAGTACTATGCTTTCAGAGGTAGTGTCCTTGGAACTCATTGCTAGAATGACATAGGACTTCCATCTTCCTCTGCAGGAGAGTGGGGAAGCCCAGAGGAGAGAGTGCTTTGGGAGAAACTCACCTGACCTCCTTCACGTTGGTCCCAGCCAGCTACCATGAGATGTGCAGACAAGTCCTCTCGATATTTATAGCTGATATTTCTCACCACATTTGCAGCAGCCAAAACAAGTGGAGGTTCCTCCAGTTCTATCCTGAGGGAAATATTAGGAATAAAGGTTGATAGAATTTTAAGTCTCATTCTCCTATACTGTTACCATCATCCCTGCTAAACGACCCCTGAAAACTGTAACTGCAATAGCTCAAACTGCAGCCTCCCTCCCACATGTACAGGGGAACCAGAGTCCCACACCACCAACTGGTAAGAAGCTTTCAATTGCTCACTCTTTTGCTCAGCCCCACCCACATAACTTTCTTTTGGCTGCAAGGACCCTGCTCTTATGGGGAAAAGCAGATAAGGTTACTTCCGTCCCAACGACCTTGATTTCTCGTATGGTAACTGCCTGATATTATGGTGGGTCACAATATCACCTTCTTCCTGATTATTTATATCAGGATAGTGATTTACAGCTTTTAAACTGTGTTCACATATAGAATGTGGTTCTCAAAATAACCGTCTCATGAGGTACTATATTATCTCCACTTTACAGATGCAGAAACTGACAGATTCAAGTGCCAGCAAGAGCCGAAACAAGACTTTTCCATTTCCCAGTGTCCAGCTCCTGGAACAGCACACTGTACAGGGATTCATGCAGGTTGGGGGAGCTCTAGTGGGTGGGGAGTCAGAACTCCAGAGCTTCATACCCATGGAGCTCCAGCTGGTAGGCGGCCATGTCGGCCACGGCTTGGGCATCAGCAGCTGAACCAGAGAGTGCACAGTAGATGCGCTCGTGCAGCGGGGACAGCTTGTCAAACACTCGGTTCACCACCGCCTCGCTGTCAGGAGGGAGTCAACAGTCACCAAGTTAAAACTCAGGTTTTTTTTTTTTTTTTTTTTTTTTGAGACAGTCTCACTCTGTCACCCAGGCTGGAGTGCAGTGGATCAATCTTGGGCTCACTGCAAACTTCGCCTCCCTGGTTCAAGTGATTCTCCTGCCTCAGCCTCCCGAATAGCTGGGATTACAGGCACCCACCACCAAGCCCAGCTAATGTTTGTATTTTCAGTAGAGACAAGGTCCCAACATGTTGGCCAGGCTGGTCTCAAACTCCTGACCTCAAATATCTGCCCACCTCGGCATCCCAAAGTGCTGAGATTATAGATGTGAGCCACTGCACCCAACCAGAACTCAGGAATTTTTGAGGGTGATCATTCAATGTCTCTCAAATTTCTTTGACAAGAGAATAGCATGAAGTTTAATGCTTGGATTAAAGCAGGAGGCAAATAATCATCTCAGATATTATTAATCACTGCAGATGTTAATCAAAATTAGGCTTATTTTTCAGGCTTAGATTTTATAACAAAGCAAAAAATGCTAAGGTAAGAAAAATATGCCTCATCAATTTTCTTTGCTATTAACAATCTTGAGAGAGTTATGTTCTATGGAACATAATGTCAGTAATATTGACCTAACCCCATATACTCATTTTGCATGTGAGGAAATTGGTTAGGAGTGGGAGAAGAGACAAAATAGTTCAATATATGGTAAATGAGAAACCAGGTATCTGCTTGACAGAATCATCTTTTTGATCCCTAAGCACAGATGGAAAGAAGACCCTCAAAAATCTATCTCCTGTCCCCCTCTCAGACCCTATTCCTTTACTCATCCCTGTACACTACTGGGACAGGTCACATACACATTCAGACCCCAGATCCTCCTCCACAAATTCAGAGACCCAAGCACCCACCAAATAGCTTATCATAGTGGCTTTTGGGGAAGGTCAACTCCATTCCTCCAAGGCTCCAGTTTGCCAGTCTTTTCATGAATGGGTAAGGAAAGTGTGTATTTGAGGCCATTAGCTTCTTTCCAAATGCATACATCTTCACTTTTACTCACCCTGCAGACACTCGGGAATCAGAACCCATCACAACGCCCCCGTCAAACTCCACTGCCATGATGGTGGTCTGCAGAGACACAGAATATGGAATGTCAGGGCAAGAACAGCCTTGATGCCCTCATGTTAGAGAAGAAGAAACATTCCCAGAGAGGCGAAGTGACTGGCTCAAAGATTACACAGTAACAGGCCAGAGCTGACTGTCAGTACAGGCTTTTTTTCCCTTCATCTTTCCACTTTCTCTATTGCTTCATCCGGCTGCAGGGGAATGCCACAGCCCAGCTGTGATACAACACAGAAAGAACTGTGTCCCTAAGTTCCAACTTGCCTAGTGGAATCCTCTCCACTGTAGAGAGGTGGAGATGAGGCTCCTACAGGTAGAAGTGAAGCAGCTCCGCAAGTGAAAATTATCTCCAACGGAAGGGCTCATAGTATGTGCAGATGTGGTGTAGACCCAACACAGAGTAATTGACTATGATCTTGGGAAACAAGGTCAGTCTATTTTTTTTTTTTTGGTCCACAATCCTCCACTCTCACCCCCCATTTCATCAGAAGTGAGCTCTTCCAATTTACTGAACATTGGAAAAAATCGAGGAGGGCAGTGGTTAGCATGGCCAGGGGCAAGGCAGGAGAGAAGCAGCAAGGAACACATACAGATGGTTGAAAATAAAAGTTTCAGTTATGGAATTTCCGATCAAGAGGTAAATACATATCTCAGCAGCCAGGGAGGTAAATTTGTACCAAGAGATAATTTGACTGAGAAGTTTAAGCTGACTTTTCCAGGTCAAGAAAAGAATCAAGAAGAAGTGAGGGAAGATAAAGCTACATTTATTCTACTATTGAGTTGGAAGGAGCCTTAAAGATCCTCGGTTCAAATGAGGAAACCAAGTCACAGAAAATGCAAACGACTTATGCAAAGTCACACAGAGTTAATAGTAGACCTGGGACTAAAATTCAGGTCTAACTCTTATCCCTTGTTTCCACTTCTACTTCCTACTTGCCACTGCTCATTTGGCAGTGAGGGGAGATTTCCCAAATTATAAGTGGTTTCACTGTGTCTTTCTTACCAGGCCGTAAGTTACTCTGGCCCCAAAGGACGCTCCTCTGAGTATGCTTTCCGACGGACCGACTTATCATGAATAGAGGGTCAAAGAACAGGGTTAACTTCAAGTTAGAGGCTATTCCTCTCTAACAAAGCCGCCCCCAAGCCACGAGTGGTGGCAGTAGTCCAGAGCAGAAGCCAGCCAGCCAGTCTTGGGGCTGCCATCTGCCCCAGGCGCCCATCCTAAGCAAAGTCCCCCCAGTGGGCACATGGGAGTGGGCAGGGAAGACACAGGGAAGGGAGTAAGGCAGCATCTGGGCCAAGGAGAGGCCTTCCTGGGTCAAGCTAGGGAAGGGCATCACTAGTTAACACAGAACGCCCATTATCAGTGCTTGGGCTAAGAGTTGCCCAGTGGCAAGTTTATCAAAAGTCTGTGTGATGAGTTGGTCCTTCTCAATAAGTGCCTATATTTCCTTCTCCCAAGTGCTGTTCTACTTCACCCAGGGCACCATTTCCTCATCTCTTTGCACCATCCCCAACCCCCTTTCTTGATTTAACCAGCCCCCACTGTCCGGGACCAGAGTGAAAGCGAAAGCGCTTTAGAGTAGCTTCCCGTTGACGCTTCCAGCTAAGAGTCAAAGCACCCGCTTTTTCCACCAGCCTCGCGTGCCTGTTCCCTTCACGGACACTCTAGACGACCCCCCTCAGAAAAGAAATACTCTATGCTCATTGCGGGTTGCAAGCGCTGGCTGCTACAGGCGACCTCCCTGCGCTCCCGTTGGTCTCTGCATTCACTTCTCCGCGCGCGCTTCCAGGGTCCCCTGGCCGCTGCATCTCCTCCACCCCTCTGCCAACCCTCAAGCCCAGACCCATTACCCCGGTGTGGACTTCTCCCGCCCGGGGTAAGTCCCCGGTTGGTGCTCCCGCCCGCAGCATCCCTGCAAGGCACCGCTCTCCTCGCCGCCTGGGGCACTGGTTTCCAACCTGGGACAGCGCACAACGCGCAGCCGACAGCCCCGCCCCTTCGCGGCGCCGCCAGGAGGCGCCTGGGTGCTGCGGGGCTGCTTTGCGCGCGGCGCTAACGTGTGTAGGGCAGATCTGCCCCGAGACAAGTGACGAGGCAGCCCCGCCCTGAGGCTGGGGTGGGAAAACTGGTGCAAGTGGAAAGGCAGGAGGCAGGGAGAGGCGAGAAGGGTGTGCGTGATGGAGAAAATTGGGCACCAGGGCTGCTCCCGAGATTCTCAGATCTGATTTCCACGCTTGCTACCAAAATAGTCTGGGCAGGCCACTTTTGGAAGTAGGCGTTATCTAGTGAGCAGGCGGCCGCTTTCGATTTCGCTTTCCCCTAAATGGCTGAGCTTCTCGCCAGCGCAGGATCAGCCTGTTCCTGGGACTTTCCGAGAGCCCCGCCCTCGTTCCCTCCCCCAGCCGCCAGTAGGGGAGGACTCGGCGGTACCCGGAGCTTCAGGCCCCACCGGGGCGCGGAGAGTCCCAGGCCCGGCCGGGACCGGGACGGCGTCCGAGTGCCAATGGCTAGCTCTAGGTGTCCCGCTCCCCGCGGGTGCCGCTGCCTCCCCGGAGCTTCTCTCGCATGGCTGGGGACAGTACTGCTACTTCTCGCCGACTGGGTGCTGCTCCGGACCGCGCTGCCCCGCATATTCTCCCTGCTGGTGCCCACCGCGCTGCCACTGCTCCGGGTCTGGGCGGTGGGCCTGAGCCGCTGGGCCGTGCTCTGGCTGGGGGCCTGCGGGGTCCTCAGGGCAACGGTTGGCTCCAAGAGCGAAAACGCAGGTGCCCAGGGCTGGCTGGCTGCTTTGAAGCCATTAGCTGCGGCACTGGGCTTGGCCCTGCCGGGACTTGCCTTGTTCCGAGAGCTGATCTCATGGGGAGCCCCCGGGTCCGCGGATAGCACCAGGCTACTGCACTGGGGAAGTCACCCTACCGCCTTCGTTGTCAGTTATGCAGCGGCACTGCCCGCAGCAGCCCTGTGGCACAAACTCGGGAGCCTCTGGGTGCCCGGCGGTCAGGGCGGCTCTGGAAACCCTGTGCGTCGGCTTCTAGGCTGCCTGGGCTCGGAGACGCGCCGCCTCTCGCTGTTCCTGGTCCTGGTGGTCCTCTCCTCTCTTGGTAAGGGGAACGCAGGGCAAGAGGGGAGGACACAAGGGGACTGGGACAGGAATCAAAGGTAATTGTCAGTAAGGTAGAGTAGCGTGGGTTCTGGGAAATGTGGAGCAGGAGAAGGACTCCTAGCGTGGGTCTTGGAACACCACTTCGGTGTAGAAGAAACGGCACTGGACTGGCGGGGGCCAGAGGTTCTGGGCTCCATTGCTGACCGGGTCTTGATTCTTTGGGCCACGCCGGAAGCGGGGAAATCCTTTGCTCTGGGGCCGAAGGGCGGGGCATCCTCATCTCTAACAGGAGGCTTTTCTACTTCATGATCTCCAGCCTTCCTAATAAAATCCTGAAAGTTCTGGTAGAGCAACCACAGGGTAGTGAGTTCCAGGGCAGCCTATTTAGGTTCGGGATTGAGACGTCAGTGTTTCCTTTCTGCTGATGCCCTCCAGGATAATGGTGAGGGGGAGGAGGCGTGGTGGGGCCAGTCTGACTGGAACTGACCTACTTAGACTTAATATTTGTGCGTGACCTCTCTTCTCTTTCTCCAGGGGAGATGGCCATTCCATTCTTTACGGGCCGCCTCACTGACTGGATTCTACAAGATGGCTCAGCCGATACCTTCACTCGAAACTTAACTCTCATGTCCATTCTCACCATAGCCAGGTCTGGGGGCTGAAAATGGGGCACCCTGCAAATGAGGGAGTTGGAAGTTGGGGCTGCTGTCCGAAATGCACTTATATGGGGATACCTGGGACCTTCAGTCTGTTCCCTGAACACACCCTGATCCCCTTTTTTTCCGGGTTCTTTATAGTGCAGTGCTGGAGTTCGTGGGTGACGGGATCTATAACAACACCATGGGCCACGTGCACAGCCACTTGCAGGGAGAGGTGTTTGGGGCTGTCCTGCGCCAGGAGACGGAGTTTTTCCAACAGAACCAGACAGGTTTCTCCTGAAACTCTTTCATTATACGCCATGTACTGTTCATATCCTCATACATCTGCTTTGATCTCCCCCCTCCCCGCTCTCTCTCTCTCACACACACATACACACATTGTTCCTTCTCATTCTTGATATACCCTCTCCCTGTCTCTCTCTCTCTGTCTCTGTCTCTCTCTCTCTCTCTCTCACACACACACACACACAATTGTTTTTCTCATTCTTGATATACCTCAGGAGCAAAATATTGTCCTCCTTACCTTAAGAAAAACCTAGAGTTTTCATCTAGCATTTTCTTATAAATCTATTCCTATGTATCCTTAGATAGAAACCATAGAATTTCAAACCTGGAAATTTTGAGCTCATAGAGACCAACTGCCTCATCTGACAGAGAAGGAAACTGAGGCCAAGACCCTAAATGCTGAAACTGCACAGTTACATATGGCTAGAGACACACTTGGGGTTAGAACCCTGGTCTCTTGAGTGCTCCACAGACTTCGGCATGCTTTCTAGCAGCACTAGAAGCTGTACAGTTACATATGGCTAGAGATAGACCTGGGGTTAGAACCCTAGTCCCAGTGAGTGCTCCACAGACTTTGGCATGCTTCCTAGCAGCACCCTCCTCCTCCATCTCTGTTATGTGACCAGTTTAAGCTCTTCCTGCCTGTGTGTATAGCATGGGACATACAGGTTCTCTAGGGAACAGAAAGCTTTCAGGAAAATGGAAATTCACATGTGCATTAATGACTTTATAATTAAAATGAAGGTCAGGCCTTTCCTCTTTAACACTCATCTTCCCTGCACTGAGATTTGCAGACCTCTGGAGAACCCTAACCTTGTTTCCTGCAGCCTCCTTAGAACCCCATGTTGACACCCCTGACCCTGGCATCCTGGCTCATTGTTAGTTCGTCTCATCACTTGGAACCTGTCTGATTCACCTCACTCTCTTCTCCCCAACCCTGCAGGTAACATCATGTCTCGGGTAACAGAGGACACGTCCACCCTGAGTGATTCTCTGAGTGAGAATCTGAGCTTATTTCTGTGGTACCTGGTGCGAGGCCTATGTCTCTTGGGGATCATGCTCTGGGGATCAGTGTCCCTCACCATGGTCACCCTGATCACCCTGCCTCTGCTTTTCCTTCTGCCCAAGAAGGTGGGAAAATGGTACCAGGTATGTTCATGGAGTTGGCCCGCTCTACACAGACCCTCATCTCCCAGACTTGGCAGACTCAGTTCCTCTCACATTGCTTTCAGTCCAGCTTTCCTGGCACCCTTACTGATTCTCCATCTTCATGGAACACCCTGTCCCTGTGGTCCATGTTCCCAGGTTGCTCAACATTAACCTCCATACTCTCTGGGTCTTCTTTTCTAGCTTCTCCCCACAATCTGTCTTTAAGAATTTGATCCCCAACCCGTTCTGAGTCATTTTCCTCTTCCTCGTATTTCTTTAGCATCCAAGGGGCATAGCTGTGTCTCTTTCTCTTTTCTCCTTTTCCTCTGTCTCTTCTCACCTTTAATTTCCAAATAGGTAACTCAGGTATTAGTGTCCCTGATGGTTTGCCAACCCGTGTGACATCTCTTGTCCATGTATCCACAGTTGCTGGAAGTGCAGGTGCGGGAATCTCTGGCAAAGTCCAGCCAGGTGGCCATTGAGGCTCTGTCGGCCATGCCTACAGTTCGAAGCTTTGCCAACGAGGAGGGCGAAGCCCAGAAGTTTAGGGAAAAGCTGCAAGAAATAAAGACACTCAACCAGAAGGAGGCTGTGGCCTATGCAGTCAACTCCTGGACCACTAGTGTGAGCACCTGAAGATGAATACCCATTCCCTTGTCCTTAAGATGCCGTGACTCCATTCCCATTCCTATGACCCTGCTCCCACTCCTTCTTTACTGGGAAATGGTTGGTTCAGTATTTTCGTCCTAGCAACCTGAGGCTCAATGACTCTACTCAGTGTCCCTAGCCCCCTCCCTCTCTTTAAAGATGCTAGGTGGCTTCCTTTCAGTATGGTACATAAAATCCACCCAACCATGTGGATTGGAGAGATGCGTGTCTTCCAGTCCTAGGGCCTTCCTTTGCCTCTCAGGGGAAGTGCAGGGCGCCATAAATTCTTGCACCTGGGACTGCTTCATGCTGGTACCTTGTAGATTTGTTAGTGAGAGTGATGGGAATAGTGGAAGCCAGGGATGAGGGACATCTGTGATGCACTGGAAAGAGAGCTACGCCAGTGATCCGAAGATCCTGGCTTGATGATGCAATTTACTTGTCTTGTGATCATGACAACAAATTTACCTTCTCTGAGACTGTTTCCTCTTTATTTATTTATTTGTTTGTTTGTTTGTTTATTTTTACTTATTATTATTATTTTTGAGCTGGAGTCTCGCTTTGTCGCCCAGGCTGGAGTGCAGTGGCGCGATCTGGGCTCACTGCAAGCTCCGCCTCCCGGGTTCACGCCGTTCTCCCGCCTCAGCCTCCTGAGTAGCTGGGACTACAGGCACCCGCCACCACGCCCGGCTAATTTTTTTTTTTTTTTTGTATTTTTAGTAGAGACGAGGTTTCTCCGTGTTAGCCAGGATGGTCTCAATCTCCTGACCTTGTGATCCGCCCACTTCGGCCTCCCAAAGTGCTGGAATTGCAGGCATGAGCCACTGCGCCCGACTGGTTGTTTCCTCATTTTTCAAAAATGGAGTGATATAACCTTCTTTATAAGGCTCTTCATGTATTAGCTGACATCACATGAATGAAAGCCTTTTGTGAAGAGTAAAATGCTCCCCAGACAAGGTGATAGTGGTGATGGTGGTGAAGATAACTGTGACTTGCATGATGTGCATTGAGTCAGACTCCATGGGGTCTCTGGTTCATTCTCCTGTCTGCCTATTGAGCCTGCCGATGTCACTTAGGAGACAGGGACTTGATATTTCCTTCAGGTTAATGACTGTGGTTCTTTGTGTCCCCTCCAGATTTCTCTACCTCAGTCCCTTTTTTTGTGGTCTCTTTATAGATTTCAGGTATGCTGCTGAAAGTGGGAATCCTCTACATTGGTGGGCAGCTGGTGACCAGTGGGGCTGTAAGCAGTGGGAACCTTGTCACATTTGTTCTCTACCAGATGCAGTTCACCCAGGCTGTGGAGGTGAGGTCCCTCCACCTTCACTCCCCAGTGTGATTCCTTCCTCTGGCCCAGCACCATCTGTGTGATGTCCTTCCATTCTTTACCCTTCTTGCTTCACATAATGCTGGCAAGCAGACTACCTCACTTTCACTATTCTTACCTCCCTCTAGGTACTGCTCTCCATCTACCCCAGAGTACAGAAGGCTGTGGGCTCCTCAGAGAAAATATTTGAGTACCTGGACCGCACCCCTCGCTGCCCACCCAGTGGTCTGTTGACTCCCTTACACTTGGAGGGCCTTGTCCAGTTCCAAGATGTCTCCTTTGCCTACCCAAACCGCCCAGATGTCTTAGTGCTACAGGTACAACCTACCACTCCCTGTATTCCACTGGCCCCAACTGCAATTCTGCCATCCTAAATTTTCTTCCTGCCTTCAGCCTGCTTACTGCCAAGCATATATCCTCCCTAACCCTTTAAAGGCAATGGTAGGCATCATCTGTTCCATAAATCTTCCCCAAACTCAAGAACCCAGTTTGGGCTTCCAAAGAGAATGAGAGAAGAGGTTTCGAAGAGAGTGCTCTCACGTTCCAAGGAATTGCTGCAGCAAAATCTGTGTCTTCGGTCTTCCATCTTTCCTTTTCCTTTGTAATTTGGAATGTGATTTTTCCCTTTCCTGGTGGTATCTGACATCAAGTGTGTGGCATAGTGGTGCTGGGTCTCTGCCCTTGTCTTTGCCGCTTCTTCTATCTCTACTCCTTGGGGAGGCATCACCCAGAAATCTGTGCATGTGGGAGGGTAGGAGTTTCTATATTTCCCTGTTTTTCTTCTGGGGTAAGACATCATGCTATGTAACAAGGCAATGACACTCTCAAGGTTAGAGGCCTTGGTAGCCTCTTATCGTGTGCTTCTCTGGCCTCTAGGGGCTGACATTCACCCTACGCCCTGGCGAGGTGACGGCGCTGGTGGGACCCAATGGGTCTGGGAAGAGCACAGTGGCTGCCCTGCTGCAGAATCTGTACCAGCCCACCGGGGGACAGCTGCTGTTGGATGGGAAGCCCCTTCCCCAATATGAGCACCGCTACCTGCACAGGCAGGTATGGAAGCAGGTGGCTTGAAGGAGGGCAGGGAGCATCAAATACGAAGAGCATTCTTACTGAGCACTCTGAAAGAGGGGTTAGGGAATGATAAGAGACCTTGGGTGGAGATGGTGGTGTAGTCAGGAGGGAGGTAGTATGATTTTGTGACATGTTCTCAATAAAGATTTTGAGTCTTCGATCTCTAGATAACCATACTCCCATGTGCCTTGTTCTATGACTCTTCATCATATTTCATCTCAGGTGGCTGCAGTGGGACAAGAGCCACAGGTATTTGGAAGAAGTCTTCAAGAAAATATTGCCTATGGCCTGACCCAGAAGCCAACTATGGAGGAAATCACAGCTGCTGCAGTAAAGTCTGGGGCCCATAGTTTCATCTCTGGACTCCCTCAGGGCTATGACACAGGTACTCTCTCCACTCATCTCACCACCCAGCCATCTTTACCTTTGCTGAAACCCCAGTAGTCTTGCCTTTATCCTTCAGTTCCTCCTTACTCATGGACATCAATTTGAAGTTGTAAGATCATGCTCCTATGGCTTCTTCATCCTGACATCCTCAGGATTCTGTTCATCTTCCCAGAATCTCCCCTATCCAGCTACAACCGTCAGATCTTGGTGTGTGTGAGTGCGTGAATGCATGAGTGTGTCTGTGTGCATGTACATGCGTGCACACATGTGGCTATACCGTTCTCATCTTGGCCCTTTGCTCTGCAGAGGTAGACGAGGCTGGGAGCCAGCTGTCAGGGGGTCAGCGACAGGCAGTGGCGTTGGCCCGAGCATTGATCCGGAAACCGTGTGTACTTATCCTGGATGATGCCACCAGTGCCCTGGATGCAAACAGCCAGTTACAGGTGAGGCAGTCATCTTCTTAATGGCTATATCCCACCCAATCTTGCTTCTTTTATACATCTTCTGTTAGTTTTACTAACATCATAATTATACAAACCAGTCCTTGCAGTTCTCAGTTCCCAAATCCAGTTCCATTGGATGCCTCCCCAAGGAGTAGAGATAGAAGACGAGGCAAAGACACCTAGAATCAGTTAAAAGAGACTATCTACAAACTACAGACTGAATTTCTTTCTTTCTTTCCTTTTTTTTTTTTAAGACAGTGTCTCACTCAGTTGCCCAGGCTGGAGCGCAGTGGCACAATCTTGGCTCACTGCAGCTTCAACCTGCTGGGCTCAAGCGATTCTCCCCTCAGCCTCCCGAGTAGCTGGGACTACAGGTGTACACCACTATGCCTGGTTGACTTTTATATTTTTAGTAGAGATGGGTTTCACCATGTTGCCCAGGCTGGCCTTGAATTCCTGAGCTCAGGTAATCTGCCCCCCTCAGCCTCCCAAAGGGCTGGGGTTATAGGTGTGAGCCACTGCGCCCAGTCCTATAGACTGAATTTCTAAAGCGAAACATAAGGAAAAGACCATCCTCATAATATCGTTTATTTAAAAAAATTATTTTTTGTACAGACAGCGTCCCGCTATGTTGCCCAGGCTGGCCTTGAACTCCTGGGCCCAAGTGATCCTCCCTCCTTGACCTCCCAAAGTGCTAGGATTATAGGCATGAGCCACCGGGCCCAGCCCATCCTAATCATATTAATATTAATTAAGCTAGTCTGTTTACATGCACTGTCACTCATTTATTCATTAGGAATCCTTCTGAGCTAGGCATTTATCATCATTCTACAGATGACAAAATGGAGGTTAAAAGAGGTTGAATAAGCTGCTCATATAGAGGTCATATAGCTTTTGAGTGGCGCAGCCTTGACCCAAATTCAGGTCTGCCTGACTTGAATGCTCATCTCTTTACTACTAAGTTATATTTCCTTAAAATCGAATATAAAAATGCCAAGTCCATGGGTAGAGAAGAGGACTATTCAATAGTCTTTATTCTTCTGTCACGTGTTTCACCCTAGGGTTCTCATTTTTATCCTACTTTTGCACCCTTCATGTAAAACAGTCCTTAATGAAACAAAGGGTTTGCGGAGAAGTACTCAGAATGGGAAACGTTGGTGTCCTTGGGGTTGTTAGCAGAGCCAGCAGTGATCCTGTGAGGTCAGTCCCAGCCCTGGAAACACAGGTGTCTCCCTGGGCTGAGGGTAGTCCCCGGCTCTGACGGTCCGATGTCTTTCCTCAGGTGGAGCAGCTCCTGTACGAAAGCCCTGAGCGGTACTCCCGCTCAGTGCTTCTCATCACCCAGCACCTCAGCCTGGTGGAGCAGGCTGACCACATCCTCTTTCTGGAAGGAGGCGCTATCCGGGAGGGGGGAACCCACCAGCAGCTCATGGAGAAAAAGGGGTGCTACTGGGCCATGGTGCAGGCTCCTGCAGATGCTCCAGAATGAAAGCCTTCTCAGACCTGCGCACTCCATCTCCCTCCCTTTTCTTCTCTCTGTGGTGGAGAACCACAGCTGCAGAGTAGGCAGCTGCCTCCAGGATGAGTTACTTGAAATTTGCCTTGAGTGTGTTACCTCCTTTCCAAGCTCCTCGTGATAATGCAGACTTCCTGGAGTACAAACACAGGATTTGTAATTCCTTACTGTAACGGAGTTTAGAGCCAGGGCTGATGCTTTGGTGTGGCCAGCACTCTGAAACTGAGAAATGTTCAGAATGTACGGAAAGATGATCAGCTATTTTCAACATAACTGAAGGCATATGCTGGCCCATAAACACCCTGTAGGTTCTTGATATTTATAATAAAATTGGTGTTTTGTACTGTGGTTTCTTATGTTTCCGGCACACCAAACGGCCCACTGCCTTTTGCAGCGCACTTTTCAGCTGCGGATGTCTCCTCTTTTATCATCCTCAATGTTTTACCCCCTAACTGCATCACCTTTTCCCTTAAGCTTTTTAATTCCTATGAGGCCCCTTCCACTTCCCCTATCCCCTTAGGCCCACCCCCAAGAATGTGCAAGACCCCAGCCACAGGGCCCATCAGGGCACTAGCGGCCGCAGCTCAGAGCCGTGGCCTCTCCGAAGTGGCAGATGGGGCGGGCGCGGCCAGAGCAAGTGCCAGGCGGGAACAGAGGGACTGGGCGCGCCTCACAACTCACCACCTCGCCCGCTGGTCCTTCCTGGCTCGCCTGGCTCTGAAGCTGCACCTGGAGGGGAAACCTCAGAACAGTAGGCGGGATTGCCTAGTAAATATCTCCCATTCAGGGAGGCCCAGGTCGTGTGACGTCGACAGTTGCTGGGTAGATGAGGCCAACACAGGTTGCAAGAAGAGGCGGGGTTTAGAGGCGTGAAACTCCGCAGTGCTCAGCCAAGCAGGGAGCAACGCTAGGAAGGGCGGGCAGAAAGGGCACGCTCTTGTGGGTGACTACAGGTTAGGAGACCGTTGAACCTGGAGGGGCCCTAGGATGGACCCCGTGGAAAGATTCAGAGACTGCGCCCTCTCCCTGGCGCCGCCTTCCCCTACACGCGGCGGGTATATTCTGTTGCAGTTGGCCCAGGACCTGTTTCCAAGACTCTGCCCCCTCGCACTTCCGTCCCTCCTGGTTTTGTAAAGTGATGCTCATAGGAACCCCCACCCCGCGTGACACTACTCCCAGCTCCTGGCTGACTTCTAGTCTTCTGGTTGAAGCTGCGCCTTTAGATGACACGACCCTACCCACCCCTGTTTCCAGCGGATGCCCGGGCCTGGAGGTACCTCTTACTGTAACCCATCGCCAAGTGGGCTTTTGAAGGCGCCTGTTCCTTTCTCGCTTTCTTCGGAAGACCCTTGACCCATCATTCCCCCGACCCCCATAACGGGAGAGCAGAGAAGCCGGTCCCCAGTGTGATGGTCCTGGTCCAGGCACTAACTGTCCTTTTCTCGGAAAAGGCAGGGGGATGTGGAAAAGAGTCTTGTTCCCTCCCCTTCGATCTGTGGCTTTCGCTTTCACTTCCTCCTCCGAGAGCGGACAGATCTCTGGGTGCTGGGCGGTCATGGCGCTACTAGATGTATGCGGAGCCCCCCGAGGGCAGCGGCCGGAATCGGCTCTCCCGGTTGCGGGAAGCGGGCGTCGCTCGGACCCAGGACACTACAGTTTCTCTATGCGATCTCCAGAGCTCGCTTTACCCCGGGGAATGCAGGTCGGGGCAGTAGGGAAGCCCCTAGGGATGCAGGGAGGCGGGCGCTGAGGAGTGGAGGGTCGCCTGAGAGGAGGAGGCGAGAGCGGGAGCGCGGGGTACAGGGTCGGGGGTAGCCTTCAGTCCCGGAGAGCGCCAGACCCAAAGAAGAGGCCACATGGGGATGGGGCCTGAGAGGAGGAAGTGCAAGTTAGGACAAAGAGTTACAGGTGAGGTGGGGGCTCCCAAAGGAAGACAAGAGAACTTTCCTGCCCTTGTCCACACACAAATGGTGGAGCCTTTTTCATGGGGTTATCACATGATATAGGAGGTGTGTGGTGTCTTGGGAAACCTATGAAATTTGCCTGCTGGCCTCCTCTCAGCAACTCACTGTTGCGCGACTTAGAACAAGTCACTTAGTCTAGGTCCCAAGCCCCTCTTCTGTAAAGTGAGGATACTGTTACTAAACGTGTTTTGTGAGGGTTGAATGCTTTATGCATGGAAGAAACCCTTTAAGTCACTCTCAAAATTTTTTAGTAATGGTAACATGTGCTTGCTTTCATTTCTGTTGTGCTGGAAAATGGAAAAGGTTGATACTGGCATGCCTCTTCTTTTCCTTCTCCCAAGCCATTTCCTTCTAGAGATTGGTTATTAACTGTTTCATTTATTGATGGTTAGATCATTTCTGCATATCTCCTCACCCTCATACTCCCTAAAACCTTTTCCTGGAGCCTCTTACTACAGAATTTTTCATTGCCTTTCTCAACCTCTTTTCTCTTATCAGCCCACAGAATTCTTCCAGTCCCTGGGTGGGGACGGAGAAAGGAACGTTCAGATTGAGATGGCCCATGGCACCACCACGCTCGCCTTCAAGTTCCAGCATGGAGTGATTGCAGCAGTGGATTCTCGGGCCTCAGCTGGGTCCTACATTAGTGAGTGTATACGCTCCAGCAGGCAGAATCTGGGGAGCTGGGCTCTCCTTTCCACAGGAGGCCAACTCTGCAACAAAGTGGAAGTGGATATTGATTTAGGACACACTGGGGGATCTATGGGGTCATCCCTTCTCTCCCAAAGCTCCATCTTCTTCCAGGTGCCTTACGGGTGAACAAGGTGATTGAGATTAACCCTTACCTGCTTGGCACCATGTCTGGCTGTGCAGCAGACTGTCAGTACTGGGAGCGCCTGCTGGCCAAGGAATGCAGGTAAGCGAGGCCTCTCATCTTCCTTTCTTAGCCTAGTGGTTAATCCCTGGATCTCTCAGATCATTGCTCCTTACTCTTGTCCTATGTGGTCCATCTTAGTGCTAATAGTATATTTCACAAAACAGCTTTTTGGTGATAAGACCCTTCTCCCAAATCTCAGCCTGTGCTCCACTCATAAGCCAGATAGTACGTCAGGTATTTAGCACTGACACATCCACCCTGGCGGGACAGTATCATTTACTAGGCTGCCTTTGTATGTTTCAGATACTTTAAATTCCAAATCTTTCTCTGATCTTTAGATCCTACAAAATAATTCCTTTCCAATGCTTATCTCTTTAATCATTTCCTGCCCCATCAAGTTGGAAAGAGCTAACCTCTCTTTCCTCACTCCACCTTGTCCTCACCCAGGCTGTACTATCTGCGAAATGGAGAACGTATTTCAGTGTCGGCAGCCTCCAAGCTGCTGTCCAACATGATGTGCCAGTACCGGGGCATGGGCCTCTCTATGGGCAGTATGATCTGTGGCTGGGATAAGAAGGTGGGTGCTCTCCATTCTTCATGTTCCCCCACCATGTTCCCTATGGATGACAGATCTGTTTCCCATCATATACTCCTACTCCCTCCCTGACAAGATGCATGGCATATAGAGTGCTTGGTTATAGAACTGTTTCAGTATATCCATGGACTATTTATTGGCCCAGATATGAATCATTGCATGTGTTTTGTAAGCTTGTCCCTTTTGTTAAACAGTTGATTTCAAGTTTGTTTTTCCTTTTTCATTTCTAAAGTTCGATGACTTTACCAAAGTGGTTTCCTAATTCCAATGTTCTTGTGGTAATATTAATTCTTTTGTTCACTTTTTATGTCTCATATTTGAACCCCCATGTTACCAACATCTTCCTCTCCAATTTCAGCCTGAAATCTTTCATCTTATAGGGTCCTGGACTCTACTACGTGGATGAACATGGGACTCGGCTCTCAGGAAATATGTTCTCCACGGGTAGTGGGAACACTTATGCCTACGGGGTCATGGACAGTGGCTATCGGCCTAATCTTAGCCCTGAAGAGGCCTATGACCTTGGCCGCAGGGCTATTGCTTATGCCACTCACAGAGACAGCTATTCTGGAGGCGTTGTCAATAGTAAGAGACCAATGCTCCCACCACCATGCCTGGGAGGAGTCGGCGGGTGGTGGGGGGGGTGATTTAAGATTGAGAAACCAGCCTGGCCAACATGGCGAAACCCCGTCTCTACTAAAACTACAAAAATTAGCCGGACGTGGTGACGGGTGCCTGTAGTCCCAGCTACTTGGGAGGCTGAGGCAGGAGAATCACTTGAACCTGGGAGGTGGAGCTTGCAGTGAGCCAAGATGGCGCCACTGCATTCCAGTCTGGGCCACAGAGTGAGACTCCTTCTCAAAAGAAAAAAAAGAAAATGATTGAGAGACTCAAAGGAGGGAGAGTAGTAGGGAGGAAATTTTCAGAGTCAGAAGAAGGGCATTAAAGGCCCAGTCATATGGTTTTAAGCTTGCGCATGTGTCTTGTTGCTGCCTTCAACATAACATCAGTGACAGGAACTTGCTGAGGTGAAAGGTGACTCCATGTTCTTTTCTCATTTGTCCACAGTGTACCACATGAAGGAAGATGGTTGGGTGAAAGTAGAAAGTACAGATGTCAGTGACCTGCTGCACCAGTACCGGGAAGCCAATCAATAATGGTGGTGGTGGCAGCTGGGCAGGTCTCCTCTGGGAGGTCTTGGCCGACTCAGGGACCTAAGCCACGTTAAGTCCAAGGAGAAGAAGAGGCCTAGCCTGAGCCAAAGAGAGAGTACGGGCTCAGCAGCCAGAGGAGGCCGGTGAAGTGCATCTTCTGCGTGTTCTCTATTTGAACAAGCATTTCCCCCAGGGAAGTTTCTGGGTGCCCCACTAAGTAGAATAAAGAAAAACGGTTATAAATACCTCTGTCTTGTGGCTGAATGGGGTTGGGCCTGTGGTTGTTGGGTGGGGCAGAAAGTAAAGAGACGCTTTTTCTGGAGAAGGGGCTCAGACCCCTATCTAAGAAATGTGGCCTCACCACATAGTTCTTCCTGGGGTTTCCTTCCACACTCATCTCTCCAAGACCTCAGGAAGGCTGCTCATTGCTGTCCATGGACACTTGTTTGCAATTTCACATAGGTTAGGGTCCTTTCCATAGAGAGGCACCTGGGGACTCCTGTGTGTTCCATTGTTAATGGTTTGAGGAACAGGGAGTAGGGCACCTAGGATAACTGTTTTTGACTTTATAGAGTAGGATGAAAAAGCTTCCACTTCACTTTAATATGGTAATCATATAAACACCATACCATTTATCCCAAATAACACTTTGGAGATATTGGATATTGAATATAAAGACAGACATTAAGGGTCTAATTTCATGATGTGTCATGCTGAATTGCAAGATGGCAGGACTATAATTTTAGAGGAAGAAGAGATCAGGAGGACTCCCCTAAGTGAGGAGTGTGGGGAAAATGTAAAAGATCCAGGTTAGAAGAAAGAGACACACATCATGAGATTTTCGGAATCATGCTGGAACTATGGACCATGTCACTTTCCAGAAAATAAAGGAAACAAATGCTTGAAAGTAGGAGCATGAGCTTGAGCATGGAGCTTTTTTCATTAGAGAGAGATTCTTAAAATGCCAGAATGAATAGAGTTGTAAAACTTTAGCGAGCCCCTACTTAAAATCCCTCCTCCCCACCACCACTATTTTAAACTTTAAGTGACTCCTTGGTAGTCACACAGGTAACATTTCAAAATGGTGATCTGGAATCCAAGCGACCCTTCCTTTGGGGAATTTGTTTGTTTGTTTGTTTTTAGTTTGGGAGGTGGTTTCAATCTGAAGAGTCCTTTCTGGAATAAACGAATCTTTCTGTTGCATAGGAAGGCTCTGGGTCAGGAAGGATATTTAAAAACCTAATTACTGTTCTAAACAGTGTTAAAATAGAACAAGAACCAAAGCTCAGTACGGGGCATTTCCCTCATAGGCTGAAGGTGCGCCCAACATAATTTGGAGTACAGACTCAGAGGCACCTGAACACGCGCCAGCTCAAGGTGCTCCGGCTGAGAAGGACGGATGAAGATGAACGCTCAGGGCCTACTAAATTCAAAGTCTGTACGTGAAAATCCCCTTTGGCCTGGTGAGATTGGTTGGAACCTTCTATTTAGGAGAGCCCGGCTCGCTCGCCTAAAACTGGAGCTTGCATGGAAGAGGGCACTTTTTTTTTTTTAGACGAAGTCTCACTCTTGTCGCCCAGGCTGGAGTGCAATGACCCGATCTCGGCTCACTGAAACCTCTGCCTCCTGAGTTCAAGCGATTCCCCTGCCTCAGCCTCCCGAGTAGCTGGGATTACAGGCGTCCGCCACCACGCCCTGGCTAATTTTTGTATTTTTAGTAGAGACAGGGTTTCACCATGTTGGCCAGGCTGGTCTCGAACCCCTGACCTCAGGCGATCCGCCCGCCTCGGCCTCCCAAAGTGCTGTGATTACAGGCGTGAGCCACCGCGCCGGACCAGAAAGAAGGCACTTCTTAATAGTAGGCTCAGAGCTTGAAGTAGTAACTTTGAGAAAATTCAGTGATTCTCCAATTACAAAGCATTCTCCAATTACAAAGCAAGGACAACAGATAAAGTTGCCCTTGAGACAACTGTATTTTACTTAATGATAAAGAAACATTTTTGCAGTTTTATATCCCAGAGTAACCGCCACTAAAGGCGAGTGAGACTCATTGCAGGCCTGTACAGTGCGAACCAGAGTTCGGGCTCCAGTTCCGCTGTCTGCGGGTCTCGCGCGCCCCCTCCCGGCGGCCCAGCCCAGAATGAAGGCCTTGGCTGGGGAAGCGAAAGCGAAAGCTGCCCGAGCCCTGACGCCCGCCCTGGCCGAGCGTAGCTGGCGGACCAGAGCCGGTAGCGAGGTTGGGAGAGACGGAGCGGACCTCAGCGCTGAAGCAGAAGTCCCCGGAGCTGCGGTCTCCCCGCCGCGGCTGGTGAGTTGGTGCGGAGGGGAACCTGGAGCGCCAACAGGGACGCAGCCCAAGTGACTACCCACTCCACGCTCCTGCTTCCCAGTCCCTCTGCACCCGGCGATAGGAGGGAGCGGAGCCCGGACCACTTAGCTCGCCGCGGCAGGCGGGGGTGGGGGTGGGGGTCCGGGGATTTTTTTTTTTTTTTTTTTTAAGCACGAGGCTCCTGATGGTCATGCTTCCAGCTCCCCAGAAGGCCGAAAGCTGTCTGTCGTAGGAGGGGTGTACGGATGAGCACCGGTTACTCAGGAGAGCTCTCAGGGTTGAATAGGATAAAATGAGAAGCCGATGGACGGGTTAGGCGGAGCCGGGCGGGTAGGAGGGCAGGGACAAGGATTGGGACTCCACCCCCATGATTTCTCATCTCGTATCCGTTGACAGAGCCATGCGGCTCCCTGACCTGAGACCCTGGACCTCCCTGCTGCTGGTGGACGCGGCTTTACTGTGGCTGCTTCAGGGCCCTCTGGGGACTTTGCTTCCTCAAGGGCTGCCAGGACTATGGCTGGAGGGGACCCTGCGGCTGGGAGGGCTGTGGGGGCTGCTAAAGCTAAGAGGGCTGCTGGGATTTGTGGGGACACTGCTGCTCCCGCTCTGTCTGGCCACCCCCCTGACTGTCTCCCTGAGAGCCCTGGTCGCGGGGGCCTCACGTGCTCCCCCAGCCAGAGTCGCTTCAGCCCCTTGGAGCTGGCTGCTGGTGGGGTACGGGGCTGCGGGGCTCAGCTGGTCACTGTGGGCTGTTCTGAGCCCTCCTGGAGCCCAGGAGAAGGAGCAGGACCAGGTGAACAACAAAGTCTTGATGTGGAGGCTGCTGAAGCTCTCCAGGCCGGACCTGCCTCTCCTCGTTGCCGCCTTCTTCTTCCTTGTCCTTGCTGTTTTGGGTGAGTCAGGAGAGGACGTTGTGAGTTGGAGGTGGTAAAAGGGCCTGGGCACCAGCACATTCTTGTGTTATTTTTCATGCCTCTTTCAGGTGAGACATTAATCCCTCACTATTCTGGTCGTGTGATTGACATCCTGGGAGGTGATTTTGACCCCCATGCCTTTGCCAGTGCCATCTTCTTCATGTGCCTCTTCTCCTTTGGCAGGTAGGTGGTGGGCAGCTGGGTCCATTTGCTAGCCCCAAATCTTTATAGGGGTCTTCACTTCCCTAACTCCATTTCTAGGCCCTTTCAGGCGCAAAACACAAAAATACTTAAACTAAAATATGGTGAATGTAGTCACCATTCTGTTTCATCTATCCATTCATTTCTTCCTTCGTTCATATTCATCCAATATCTTCAAAGTTTATCTGATCTTATTATAGGAACAAGTTATGAGTGAAGGTAGTACAAAAGGAATTTAAGTCTCAGATGGAATGTCTCTCAGTTGTCTCTCAACATTCCTAGGTCCATGAAATTCCATTTCTTTCTGCCTCCTACCTCCTACCCCTAAGTCTGTCTCCAAAGTATCTCTCCAGGGTCACTCTCTCAGGATGGGTATGCTTCTCCCTCTCACTCTTCTTTCCCAGCTCATCTTGCTAATCCCTGAAGATCTTACTCTGAGGCTTATCACCTTTCTTTCCAGAATCATTACTCTTTTCCCTTCACTTGCTTTCCTTTCTCTTTCTAGACATACTCAAACAAACAAACTGTTTGATAAGGCTGGGACTGGGATGAGGTGAGCGAGGCACCTGGGGTGCAAAGTTTAAGGAGGTGTGCACTCACCTTACCCAAATCCCAGCCGGCCTGATTGTCTCTATTTTTATGGTCATACTTAATTTAGAGTACCCTCGAAAACCATTTCATTGTGCCTTCATTCCATCCTGGCTGCTTTCTGCTGAAACTACAGTCGTGCACTGCATAACGATGTTTAGGTCAATGATGGGCCACATATAAGATGGTGGACCCACAAGATTATAATACCATATTTTTACTGTACCTTTTCTATGTTTAGATACACAAATACTTACTTCTGTGTTACAGTCGCCCACAGTGTTAGGTGCAGTCATATGTTGTACAGATTTGTAGCCTAGGAGCAATAGGCTAAACTACATGGCCTAGGTGTGCAGTAGGCTATGACATCTAGGTTTGTGTAAGTACACTCTATGATGTTCATACAACGATGAAACCATCTAACGACACATTTCTCAGAACACATCCCTGTCATTAAAGTACAAACCCTCATTATATCATGTCTGACTATTCCAAACGCCTCTTCAATATGGTAACTAAATTTGTATTAGAAACATATATTTTGTAAAATACATGCTTTTATGCTTTATATTTTTTCCTCTAAGTGTTACTGTAGCATGTAGTTGGTCTAAGAGGGATTTTCCAACTCGAAGGATGACAGATGGGAATCACATGACTCTGGGGCTCCAGAGAATTGTGGGGGCAGGGAATTTATTATTGCAGTTCCCATGATGAAGTATCTATGATGACAGAGAAGGGCTTTGGGTATGGGGCAGGAAGGAGACCAAGGCGGAGGAGACGCACAGAGGGACAAGCCTGAGGGACGCTGGGACAGAAGCAAGCACTGGGATACTTGTTTTCACAATATCTTTTCCCTTCTATTGTAGTTTTCTATTGTGTCTAGTACAGAGTGCACTCCATAAATACTTGTAAATTTGTACATGTTATGATTTTGTTCTCACATCTAGCTCACCATGTCTCCTCTTTCTTCTTCCTCTGTGTATTCCTTACCTCTTCTCTCTCTGTGTGTCTGTCTCTCATTTCTTTCTCTTTTGCCCCTCCTGGCATGCTTTCCCCTGACTTTGCGCTTCTCTGCACTCCTGGCTTGCTCCTCTGTTTCACCCGCTGGCTTGCTCCTTCTCTGCATCTCCCTCCCCTCTTATTCTCCTACCCCACAGCTCACTGTCTGCAGGCTGCCGAGGAGGCTGCTTCACCTACACCATGTCTCGAATCAACTTGCGGATCCGGGAGCAGCTTTTCTCCTCCCTGCTGCGCCAGGACCTCGGTTTCTTCCAGGAGACTAAGACAGGTGGGGCCTGGAGTCCAGGTCTGAGATTCCCATGGACATCCCTTGCCCCTCAGTGACCTTCCACCCACAGCCTCTCCTCCTGCCTTCACCCGTATGCCAGGACCTGGGGATGCTTTTCTCTTGTTTGGGACAGGGTGGAGAAGCAGCCTCCACTGTCCCTCTGCAAGTGAAGGAGGATGTTCAGAGGAGGGGGCTGTGTCAGAGGGAACGGTCAGGAGGGAGTTTCTGGGGGCCCTGCAGTACACATGGTTTCCTTTTTCCTCACCTGCTCTGTCCTTCTTAGGGGAGCTGAACTCACGGCTGAGCTCGGATACCACCCTGATGAGTAACTGGCTTCCTTTAAATGCCAATGTGCTCTTGCGAAGCCTGGTGAAAGTGGTGGGGCTGTATGGCTTCATGCTCAGCATATCGCCTCGACTCACCCTCCTTTCTCTGCTGCACATGCCCTTCACAATAGCAGCGGAGAAGGTGTACAACACCCGCCATCAGGTGAGCGTGCATGTAAGGGAACCCCAAAGGGAGAATAAAACTGACAGGTGAGGAGGCTTCCACATTTGTGGCTAGAGGATCCCCTAGAGAGAGATGTTCTCTTCTCAGCCATTAGGGGAGAAGGTATATTGTAGTATATACTACATTTTGTTTGTCCAGCCATCCAACAATGGATATTTGACTTCAGAAGATTCATGATTCTCCAGAACTGTAAACAAAAATGTAAAGTGTATGTGAAGGTATGGGGGAGGGAATAGGAAGGGGAGATGATAGGCGATGATAACTTTTCATTAGCTTCTCAAAGGAGTCTGTACATCCCCCGCCCCCACTGCGAAGATTAAAAATGGTTTCTTAGAGGCTTTTAGGCAGGGAGATTTTCCCTTTAAAATCAGCAGAAGAAGTCTGGATGCAGCATAGGGAAAGGAGGCGTCATCAGGAAGTCCTAAGTCTGAATGTCAGCTCCACCTTCTCTTTTTCTCTTATATTGTGGTAAAACATACATAACATAAAATTTACCATTTCAACCATTTGAAGTGTACAGTTCAGTGACATTTAGGAAACCCACATTGTTATTGGGTAGCCATCATCACCATCCATCTCCAGAACTTTTTTCATCTTCCTAAAATGAAACTCTGTACCCACTAAATAGTAACTGCCTACTACCCCCAACCCCTGGCCGCTGGCAACCTCCATTGTACCTTCTGTCTCCATGAATTGTGATGACTCCCGGTGCGGTACGTAAGTGGAACCATACAGTATTTGTCTTTTTGTGACTGGCATATTTTACTTAGCGTAATGTCTTCAGGCCTCATCCATATTGTAGCATGTGTTAGAATTTCCTCCCTTTTAAGGCTGAATAATATTCTGTTGTGTGCATATATCACATTTTGATTATCCATTCATCTGTCAATGGACATTTGCGTTGTTTCCACCTTTTGGCTGTTGTGAATTATGCTGCTGTGGACATGAGTGTACACCTGTTTGAAACCCTGCTTTTGGTTCTTTTGGGTATATACTTAGAAGTGGAGCTGCTGGATCATATGGCAATTCTATTTAACAATTTTTGAGGAACCATGTATTAGTCCATTTTTACGCTGCTGATAAAGACATACCCAAGATTGGGCAATTTACAAAAGAAAGAGGTTTATTGGACTTACAGTTCCATGTGGCTGGGAAGACCTCAAATCATGGCGGAAGGTGAAAGACACATTTCACATGGCAGCAGACAAGAGAAAAGACAGCTTGTGCAGGGGAATTCCCCTTTTTAAAACCATTATATCTCGTGAGACTTATTCAATATCACAAGAACAGCATGGGAAAGACTTGCCCTCATGATTCAATTACCTCCTACCCAGTCCCTCCCACAACACATGGGAATTCAAGATCAGATATGGGTAGGGACACAGCCAGATCGTATCAAACCACCATACAGTTTTCCATAGCGGCAGCACCATTTTAAATTCCCACCAGCAGTGCATAAGGTTTCCAATTTCTCCACATCCTCATCAACACCACTTTCTGTTGTCTTTTTTTTTAATAGCCATTCTAATGGTGATTAGGTGATTAGGATTATCTCATTGTGGTTTTGATTTGCATTTCCCTAATGATTAGTAAATATTGAGCATCTTTTCGTGTGATTTTGGCCACTTATGTTTCTTTCTTGAAAGAATGTCTGCAAGTTCTTTGCCCATTTTCTGATTTTTTTTTAAGTTGTGGGAGTTCACTATATGTTTTGCCTATTAATTTCCTATCAGATATATGATTCACAAATATTTTCTTGTATTTCATGGTTGCTTTTTCACTCTGTTGCTAGAGTTCTTTGATGCACAAACGTTTTAAATTCTGATGAAGTCTGATTTATCTATTTTTTGTTGCCTGTGCGTTTGGTGTTATATCCAAGAAATCACTGCCAAATCTAGTGGCATGAGGCTTTTCTTCTACATTTTCCTAGGAGTTTTATAGTGTTAGCTCTTATGTTTAGGCCTCTGATCCATTTGGAATTACATCTCCACCTTTCTTAACTATCTGTGGCTCCTTGGGAAAACTACCCTTCTTTCCTGATTCAGACACTGGGGATGGGAAAATTACCTCAAATGAAGGTTAAAAAAATTGCATGTATCTCCTATACTACCTAACACTGAGAGCTCAATAATATTTTGTTCCCTTGCTCCTTCACTCTTATTCCTTCTGGAAAGAAGAGTAAGGAAGAGGGAGAGAAACAGTTTGGTATTTTTAGGTAGACTAGGGAGCATCTCACTGGCTGGAGTAAGATGTGGGGGCCTGCTGTCTTTGCACATCAGCCCTGGTGTTTGCTGGCCCTCTTTTCCAGGAAGTGCTTCGGGAGATCCAGGATGCAGTGGCCAGGGCGGGGCAGGTGGTGCGGGAAGCCGTTGGAGGGCTGCAGACCGTTCGCAGTTTTGGGGCCGAGGAGCATGAAGTCTGTCGCTATAAAGAGGCCCTTGAACAATGTCGGCAGCTGTATTGGCGGAGAGACCTGGAACGCGCCTTGTACCTGCTCGTAAGGAGGGTAAGATACCAGAGTGGTTGTGAAAGGAGCCCAGGAAAGGGGGAGGGCAAGGGAAGAGGAAACTACAGCTGGTTCTAGAGGCCTTTGCAGCTCAGTCTCATAGAGGCAGAGAGGGGGAAAGAATGGGAAGATTCCCAGCCTCATCTCTTTCTTCTCCTCTTCCAGGTGCTGCACTTGGGGGTGCAGATGCTGATGCTGAGCTGTGGGCTGCAGCAGATGCAGGATGGGGAGCTCACCCAGGGCAGCCTGCTTTCCTTTATGATCTACCAGGAGAGCGTGGGGAGCTATGTGCAGGTGAGCGAGAAGCCAAGCCTGCTCTCCTTTTTTCCCTCTCTTTTTCTTTGTGGACTCCTGGGCCTTGGGCTTTATTTGTTCTTTTTAACAATACAATACAAAACCAAAACCCGCAAGTAATTTTGCTATGGAGAATTTTAAACATATGCCAAAAATGAGACAAAATAATATTACAAACTCACATGTATACATCCTGTGCTTTAACAATGATCAACTCATGCCCAATCTTGTTGGATCTGTATCCCCAGCCACTTCCCCCCACCCATATTATTCTGAAGCAAATCCAAGATATTGTATACTTTCATCTGTAAATATTTCAGTATGTTTCTTAAAAATACAAACATCTTTAAAAGTGTATAACAACAAAGCCATTATCACACCAAAAAATTAACAGTAGTTCTTAAAATTTATCAAATAGTCAATTGTCAAATTTCCACTTGTGGTATCCATGTAGTATATGTGTATGAGTGTGTTTATTATACTTTGCTTAAATCAGGATCCAGAAATGGTCCACATATTGTGACTGGTTGATACATCTTTTAAGTCTGTCTGTCTATCTATCTATCCATCCATCTATCCATCCATCCACCCATCAATCCATGTATCTGTCTAAAAGTTTCCCTTGCACAGTTTATTTGTTGAAGAAATAGGTTGTTTGTCCTGTGGAGTTTCTTAGGGTCTGGATTTTGTTGACTGAATCCCTGTGGTATTATATGCTCTTCTGCCTCTGTACTTCCTGTCTATTGATAGATAAACCTAGAAGCTTGTGAGATTGAGGGGTTTTTTTTGGTCTTTTTCCAGCAACAGTACTTTTTAGGTGGTGATGCATTCTTCCTCCAAGAGGCACACAATGTCTGGTTCTCTATTTGTGGCAACATCAGCCACTGATGAGCAGTACCTACATCCATGACAGAATTAGGGCTGCAAAAGGGAGATACTCTATCATTCTTCATGTATTAGCTGAAGTAGTCTATGAAGGGAGACTTCCCCTCATCTACCATTTCATTACCCGGTGGTACAGTTTGATGAGGAAAGGCAGAGTGAGCATTTAGATCTCTTCCTACATTTACCAGTTCTCAAAAACAGCTACTTCATCCAGGGCTTTATTTAAACATTTTCCTAGACACTTGATAAACATCTTTTTTGTGTAGAGAACTGCGCTGGGCACTCTGACGGCTACAAAGGTGAGTTGGGCACAGTGCCTGCATTTAAGGAGCTCCCCGTCTAATCAAGCAAGACAGAACTGGGCACAAGTAATAGGAAGCAGTAACTGAAAAGATCTGGGGCTAGAGGCAATGCTGTATGGTAGGAGAAGGGACTGTATATCCTTTATATTGCAAATTGGAACACTGGGGTATTGGTGCCACTTTTAAATTCCGTCCAAATTGTACATTTAAAAGTGGAGAATCTCTTTTGAGTATGGAGGAGGAGCAGTGCAGTTGTGAGTGGAGTGTGTGAGGAGTTGGGAGGGTGGTTTCTGGTAGAAGTGTGTTTAATTAGCCGGCTCTCCCATTCCTGTTTTCCAGACCCTGGTATACATATATGGGGATATGCTCAGCAACGTGGGAGCTGCAGAGAAGGTTTTCTCCTACATGGACCGACAGCCAAATCTGCCTTCACCTGGCACGCTTGCCCCCACCACTCTGCAGGGGGTTGTGAAATTCCAAGACGTCTCCTTTGCATATCCCAATCGCCCTGACAGGCCTGTGCTCAAGGTGCCTGAAAGAGGGAGGAAACCTGGACCCTTGCTCTCTGCTGCTAATGCATAATTGGACATCACAGCCTATAGTTCATTTGCCTCTGAGAACCTGGTCTTGCCTCTGCTAAGAAGAGAAATGGAGGGATTTTGAGGGAGAAGGGGCAGGCCCTTAACTCTTTTTCTGGTTTTCTAGGGGCTGACGTTTACCCTACGTCCTGGTGAGGTGACGGCGCTGGTGGGACCCAATGGGTCTGGGAAGAGCACAGTGGCTGCCCTGCTGCAGAATCTGTACCAGCCCACAGGGGGACAGGTGCTGCTGGATGAAAAGCCCATCTCACAGTATGAACACTGCTACCTGCACAGCCAGGTGGGTGAGGAGGGAGAAGACAGGGGACAGGAGAGGGGAGCATGTACAGAGAGAGGATGGGAGATCCACGGGAAGGCGCACCAGGTGTTCATTCTGAGGGAGGTAGGTGGGGAGGACAAAAGGGCCCCTGCCTTGGGGGTTTACACATAGTCCTCTGCCCCTGTCCCTGCTGCACAGGTGGTTTCAGTTGGGCAGGAGCCTGTGCTGTTCTCCGGTTCTGTGAGGAACAACATTGCTTATGGGCTGCAGAGCTGCGAAGATGATAAGGTGATGGCGGCTGCCCAGGCTGCCCACGCAGATGACTTCATCCAGGAAATGGAGCATGGAATATACACAGGTATCTTCTACAAATTGTAAGCTTGCTCCTTCAGTAAAAAAGAGAAAATCAGACTTACTCTTAGTGGTGAAGGTCGTGTCCCTGTAGCTTGATGTTTGCTGTTCCTCTGCCCTTTCCTCCATTCCTACGTCTCCTTCCCCACACACTGAATTCTTCAGCCTCCCTCTTGATCAAGAGTCTTTGTTTGCAGAGAGCAATGCAGCAGTGGTGCTCCCTCCATGGGCAGCCCCGTCAGGTCCCCACCCCATGGCCCTCCTCCCACTGGGCCCTCCCCGCACTGGGCCCTCCCACCTCCCGAGGTCCTACTGGAAGTACCTGCTGTGCACTTGTCCCTCCTTGTGTGTTGTCTGTGTCACTTGTATCTGAGGAAGGGAATTTCTCTGATTTCCTCAGATGTAGGGGAGAAGGGAAGCCAGCTGGCTGCGGGACAGAAACAACGTCTGGCCATTGCCCGGGCCCTTGTACGAGACCCGCGGGTCCTCATCCTGGATGAGGCTACTAGTGCCCTAGATGTGCAGTGCGAGCAGGCCGTGAGTACCGTGAGAGGGCAGGGGACAGTGGGGCCTGGGAGGGGCATGCTGGGAGGATCAGACTGTGCAGAATTGGGCAGAGGGAGGACGAAGGACCTACTAGTGGAAACAGTCTGTGCCTTCTTGGGGTTGGGGAATGGAATCCGGTGGTGTGAGGGCAGCCCCAGTTCCCTCCTGGGCTTCCATTCCTCCAGCTGTGGCAGTACAGCCGGGAGAGAAGGGCAGTCCAGGCCTTTATCTACTGCCCTTTCCTACCTTCTTTTATTTCACACCTTCTTTACCCTAAATCATAAGAGATGGTGCCCAGGTGGATGTGGTGTCCATCTCATTCCTGTCTTTCTGAGGCACTGTGATCACCCCTTCAGCTGCAGGACTGGAATTCCCGTGGGGATCGCACAGTGCTGGTGATTGCTCACAGGCTGCAGACAGTTCAGCGCGCCCACCAGATCCTGGTGCTCCAGGAGGGCAAGCTGCAGAAGCTTGCCCAGCTCTAGGAGGGACAGGACCTCTATTCCCGCCTGGTGCAGCAGCGGCTGATGGACTGAGGCCCCAGGGATACTGGGCCCTCTTCTCAGGGGCGTCTCCAGGACCCAGAGCTGTTCCTGCTTTGAGTTTCCCTAGAGCTGTGCGGCCAGATAGCTGTTCCTGAGTTGCAGGCACGATGGAGATTTGGACACTGTGTGCTTTTGGTGGGGTAGAGAGGTGGGGTGGGGTGGGGTGGGGGCTGTCTGTGTCCAGGAAACTTAATTCCCTGGTGACTAGAGCTTTGCCTGGTGATGAGGAGTATTTTGTGGCATAATACATATATTTTAAAATATTTTCCTTCTTACATGAACTGTATACATTCATATAGAAAATTTAGACAATATAAAAAAGTACAAAGAAGAAAAGTAAAAGTACCCATTGTTTCACTTCCTGGAGATAACCATAGTTGCTATTTTGCTGCCTGTCCCATCAGTCGTTTATCTGTTGTTTGAGATAGAAATTAACCAAAAATGACATAAATATTCATGAGATTGCCTTCCTATATCCTTCCTTGTTCCTACCAGTGTCTGCTATTTTGAAGAAGCTAGGGTCTGGAGGGACAGAGAACAGTTCCCTGATTAACAGTATTAATAGCGACATTGGTAACAGCTACCATTTATAGAGTTTTAATGGGAGTAGGAGCTATGCTAAGTGTTTTTCATGTATTATCGTTTTTAATCATTATCCCCAACCCTATGAGGTTGGTTATTATCCCCATTTTACAGATGAGGAAACTGAAGCTCAAAGAGGCTCAATGACTTTCCCAAGGTGGTCGTAGTGGTGGAGTTGGAGTTTGAACACAGGCCTGACCCTAGAGTCCACACCCTGACCCAATCAATTATATTGCATCTTGGGTCCATAAACCCTAATCCATAATCCCATCAAGAAAAGCTCTGCTGCTCTTAGCTCTAAATAATTCAGAATCTATTCTCTTCTCTCCAGTCCCGTTGTTATAGTCTTCACTCATAGACTTAAGATGATCCCATCACCAGAGAGGTTTCTCTACCATTAGCTTCCCTCTTCCGGCCATTCTTCACAAAGTCATTTTTCTAAATTCTGTGTCACATACGATGATGGCATTTCTGGAAATTCCTTCAGGTGCTCTCAAGCCCTGCTGCAGAGATCCTTTTCAGAGCACACACTGTTCCAGCCCATCTGTCTCACCCTCTCCTGTTGTATCCAGCTCCACGACAAACTTCTGCCTTCCCCAACACCTTTGTGCCTTTGCATATGGTGTTTTCTTGCCCATTTTCTGCTCGACTCGCCCCTGATTTTCAAGTTCAAGACTTAACTCAGGGTTCAGGTCTTCCAGGAGGCCTTACTTATGTCGTCAGTCTGGGGAACTCTCCATGTGCTTCTATCACTGTGCGGTTACCTCTTTCACAGCCCTTTTAAAGTTCTATCTTCCCTTTCCCACCTTTTTTGACCTTCCACTAGACCATGAGCACCTGGGCGGAAAGCCATATATCTTATTAAGCTTTATATCTGCTACCTGGCCGAGGGCCTAATTCATAGTGGAGAATAAATAGTCAATTGAATAAATGAATAAATATCTCCACCATCGTACTAATCTTAATCCTCCCTGCCCACTCCCACCACTGAAAATGCAACATTGTACACATCACTGGTTGTTGGGAGGGACTTACCTTGGAAAGTTGCTATTCTAGGAAAGAGAAACCTTCATATTCCTGGAAACAGCAGGTAGTTTCCAGTGCTGGCAATGAATTCCCCAGAACTGCTGTTTTGGATTTTTTCTTGCCTGGCAGCTGTTGGGAGCAGGGTGCAGTGAGGATGGAGTGAGAGTGGGCAGTTTCTTGTGCAGATTTGCCTTTCTTTCATCCTGGGGCTGACTTGCAGCTCCACACCCATCCATCTCTCAAATTTCACAGAGGGTAAAATAGGCATTTGGAGAGAAAGAACTCTGGCCTGATTCCTTTCTCTCCCACAAATGTCCTTTATTCATAAAACAGGAATAATAATTCCTGTATCTCCCAACTACATGGAAGCTGCAGCCCTCACAGAAGAAGATGATCTGAGAAATTCTTTGATTTCCTCAGTACAGTTATACCCATGCATCATAATACTTTAAGCCTGGAAGGCATCTTAAAAATAATGCAACAGTCAAACCTAATTTTACAGAGAAACTGACATGAAATCACGCAGCTAATCATGATAAAGCTGGGTGGAAAACTTATCTTGATGGGCAGTACAGGAAGATGCAGTAGACCTTAAGATGTCCTGAAAGTTTCTTATCTCAGGGGAAACTCCCAGGTAGGCTTTATGTCAGGGACACAGAAAAATGCTCCCTGAAAGTCAAAATATTCGGGCTAGACAGACAAATTCCTGTAAGTGTGGTTTGTCTGGGAACCACAGATGTCACTAATCCTGGTTTGCTCCAGAGTTCTTTTTGTTCACTCCTACCCCCCATCACCATTTGATTGATCTCCTTACCCTGTAATTTCCCCTTCTTGTCGCTTACCTGCAGTATCTTTCCCACCCAGGCATGCCTTATTCTTTCTAAAGGAAAGTATGAATGGAGAGGGGAAAGCTTGGGAAACTGATAGATTTCCTTGGATGCCAAAACACCTCCATAGCCTGTCTGCCCGGCCCTATGTGGAAACAGCATTGAGTTTCAAGTCCTTTATGCCTCCACCCAGGGATAGCCACTTGGAATCCACATGGCAATTGTGAAACAAGCAGGAAATGCGTAATTGTCAGAATTTTGTGGGGAAAGGACTAGGGAATAAGGAAAACAAAGATCTTCCTTGTGTTTTAGAGCTGTCAGCTAGAGGAGCACCTGCTTGAGTCTGATGCCATCTAATGGTCCCAGAAGAAACTGGGTTTTGAACCTAGAGTTCCATGGACTCTTAGGAATTAGACTCCTACTACTACTAAGCATTCACTGGTGCTTACTATGTGCTATTGCTGTGCCAAGTATCTGAAACCTGTCTTCTTACCTTATTTTTCAAGATAATTCTATGTGGCAGGTATTACTATCTCAATTCTAAGAGTGAGAAAATGGAGTTTTAGAAACATTTACTAACTTGCCTGGGTCACATAGCTAAGGAAGAGGTGGACTTGCCCAGCTTTGCATAAAACTCCTCAAAAGAGTTGCCTATACTCCCTGACTCCACTTATCTTCCTACTATCCTCTTTTTAAAATATATTATTTATTTATTTAAATAAGCAATATATGAATGTGGTTTGAAATTCAAAAGACACAAAGAAGTATACAGAGGAAAGCCTCACTCTCAATCCTTCTCAAGGTTTGCTAATTCCTCTTGCATAGGCAATCCGTTCTTCCAGCTTTGTGTTTATCTTTCCAGAGAAGTTTACTGTGTATTAAGCAAATATGTATATCTTTATTCTTGCTCAGTATTTTCGCAAACAGCAGCTGTCTAAGTTCACTGTTCTGAACTTTATTTTTTAAATTAAAAATATATGGCTATGTAGTATTCTATTTTATGGAAGTTCCATATTTCATTTATCCTGTTTCCTTCTACTGATGGCTAGTTAGGTTATTGGAAGTCTTTTGCTGTTGCTAGTTAGTCTTGTATAGACATTGTAATGCACATGTGCAAAAATACAAGTATGATACAATCTTAAAGGGGAGTTGCTGAGTCCAATATATACATTACAAATATTGATAGATATTGCAAAATTGCCTTCATAGAGGCTGTATTAATTTATAGTTCCAGCAGCAACATATGAGTTTATCTGTTTCTCCATATATATATATATGTATATAACCAACAGACAGTGTTAATTTTTAAAATTTTGACAATCTTCTGGGTGAAAGTAGCATTGTATTGTAGTTATCATTTGCTTTTTAATATTATCATGTAAGTAACAGAGATACTAAACCCAGAAGGATAAGGGAGCAAAGATGAGAAAAATAAACACACACACAAACAACAATAACAAATCTGTCTAAAATATTGGAAAATCAGAATGAGAAATGAAATATGACTGTAACGATAAAAATCAGTAATAAAAATGACTATTAAATTTAAAAATAAGGCAGAGCAACCACAAGTGACATGAGAATGAGGCAGACAAAGTTAAAGCACCTAAAGTCTTTGTCTTGTTTGAAAGGAGGGTAGAGATATTGATTACCTTCAGATGCTGCCACATTTGGTAAACATGTTAAAAATATAAGACTGACTTTTAACTAATATAATTAGAATTTAAAATTCCTAAATCAGTAAGGGGAAAT
This sequence comes from Homo sapiens, assembly GCF_000001405.40. Taxonomy (NCBI): domain Eukaryota; kingdom Metazoa; phylum Chordata; class Mammalia; order Primates; family Hominidae; genus Homo; species Homo sapiens. Next base: position 4,244,010 of record NT_167246.2, on the reverse strand, counting down.
TAAATAATACTTTAAATAAAAATGTAATTGATTTAATATAAGTGATGCAAGGAAAACAAAAGAAGCAAAGTAAGACATAGCAAATACAGAGCACCATATATTGTAACAGAAACGAATGTAAATAGCACAGTGATCACAAGTATAAATAGCTTAAATATGGGAGTTAAAGGAAAGTTCTCAGATTAGATTAACAATATCGCAAAATCCAGTTATATGCCCTTCATAAGATCACAAGAAACCTAAAAACATGAAAATGTTAAATCAAAACCAGATATAAGATACACAAAGCAAACACTAACAGAAGACAGAAAGACAGCTTATGTAATTACAGAAATATCTAAACATATAGTCTAAAACCAAAGGCATTAGTAAAAACAAAGACAGCCATTACATAGTGATAATGAAGTCACCAGAACATTATACTAAAACTGAATCAGTTTGCACCTAGCAATAAAACTACAAAATATGTAAGAAATATAGGAGAATTATAGGAAGAAATTAATTGAGAAATTGAAACACATTTCTCAATGATTATAGAATAAGTGGAAAAATGAATAAGGATATCAAATAAGCCTGTTGATGTTCTTGTCTGTAACATCTAGGAATCAAAATATATTCTTTAAAACTAATAAATCAAGTGCTCGTATTTACACATTTAAGACTACAAAGGTAGACACACACACAGAAAGAGGAAGGGAGAGGATATGAGCTAGTTTTGTGATTGTTCATTATTTAAAACTAATAGGAATTATCTAAAGGAAGAGGGAACTAAGTGTATTATATACAAATAAACTTATCAAAGCAACCTTGAAATATACACCTTCCTTAATATCTGAAAAGGTAAAATTTTTAAAATGCACAATAAAGACATAGTGAAAGATTTTTAAAAATACTCATGTAAACATTATACTTAACAGAAGTTAATATCTCTGAATTAGACTGAATCTATTTGCTGTATGAATAATTATAAATGGGCTTCTTAACTGAACTAAATAAATGAAAATATTTTTAAATTAGATTAAGATAAAAACTCTATTATTTGCAATATGCAAAAGACACCTAACATAAAGCCACTCAGAAAGATGTATTCATTATTTTCAACAAATAAGATGATGGGCAAAGACATAACAAGAGAAGGCAAACAAAAGGGAAGCAGAGGTCACATTCGTCTTACCAAACAAGATGAAATTCAGACACTCCTCACCAAAAAAAAAAAAAAAAAAAAAAATTGAGTGTGACAAGAAGGGCACTTTATAATGTAAAGTATAAAATTCATATGAATATATGAGACATGTGTTTAAGTTCTAAATACCAAATAGGTAGCTCTTATAAAGCAGAAATTAAGGTAGATACAAGGAAAATATTCAGAAATGTACTACCAATAGAACACTTTAATTCCCTTTCCCTGGACTAGACCAGTTAAGTGGACAAAAAAATAGGCTGGGCCTGGTGATTCATGCCTGTAATCTCAGCACTTTGGTAGGCCAAGGCGGGTGGATCACCTGAGGTCAGGATTTCGAGGGCAGCCTGGCCAACATGGTGAAACCCTGTCTCTACCAAAAATACAAAAATTAGCTGGGTGTGGTGGTGGGCGCCTGTAATCCCAGCTACTTGGGAGGCCGAGGCAGGAGAATTGCTTGAATCTGGGAGGCAAAGGTTGTAGCGAGCCAAGATCGCACCACTGCACTCCAGCCTGGGCGGCACAGTGAGACTCTGCCTCAAAAAAAAAAAAAAAAAAAAGTATGAACACAGAAGATAGAAGATATTACTATCAATAAAAAAATAGATATGCTACATCTATATCAAACTTTTAAAATTGAAAATAGAGGCCGGGTGCAGTGGCTCACACCTATAATCCCAGCACTTTGGGAGGCCTAAGCAGTCGGATTGCTTGAACTCAGGAGCTCAAGACCAGTGTGGGCAACAGCGAAAACCCGTCTCTACAAAAAATACAAAAATTAGCCAGATGTGGTGGCTCGTGCCTGTGGTTTCAACTACTTGGCTGAGGTGGGAGGATCGCTTGGGCCCAGTTCAAGGCTGCAGTGAGCTATGATTGTGCCACTGCACTCCAGCCTGGGCAACAGAGTGAGGCCTTGTCTCTAAAACAAACAAACAAACAAACAAAAATTAAATGGCTCAATGGCATAGAAGAAAATTTTTTTATGAAGCAAGTATAATATTGATGTTAAACTATGACAATGCACAAATATAAAAATTGTAGATGAATTTACTTATTATACTGACACAAAAATCCTAAATAAAACATTGCAAACAGATTCTAGCACAGATTAAAAAACACCCATTAAGATCAAGGGGTTTTTTTTGTTTTTTTTTTCTAGAAAACCCTTTGGAAGTTCATGATATTTTGAATTTCAGTGGATATTTCCTGGGAATAATGAGTTCAAATGAACGAATATGTGGAACAAAGCATCACCAACATTTATTTTTTCAGGATGAGGTGATGGACAAAACCATCACAGGGAAATTGAGGCAAATAGTACATGTAAAACAATACTTCGGGTGAGTCCACCTATCCCAAAGTCGTATCAAAGAAGTGGCTGCAGATTGGAGCCCAAAGCCTTTGGTTCCTCAGTTTCCAAATGGATTCTCACTAGGTGGGATCATGAGTTTGCTTTGGACACCCCAAATTCTAACTATTTCTTTTGTTTCTTACATCCTTTCCCTCTTCCCCAGCCCCTTCCCCTCATGTTACACCTCTTGCTGGTTTGAGACGTCAATCACCACTGAGAAAGAATTAAACCAGTATTTTGAGCTGGCAAAATTCTTAGCCTAGTACAATTCCTTCAATTAAACTGTAGCTCAACAATGTGTTCTCTAAAAGTATGATTTAATATTCTACCTAGAAACTCAGAATATTTTTCATAACTCCTCCAGGGCAGTGTGGATTATGTTGATGTGTTAGGAGGAAGTAGAAGGAAGAAAATGAATTGAGATGTACGTTTTACTTCCATGTCAAAGTCACCAAAATAGCAGTTGAAGGGATATTTGTGTCAGGCAATAGGGAGAATAATAATTTTATGCCACCCTCAAAAAACAACCACACATACACCCAAATTCTCTCACTCCTCAGAGAAAGGGGAAGGAAAGAAAAGAGAGAAGCAAAATATGAGCTTGAGTGAAAAATCACAGAGGAGCCTGTAGCTATTTAGGGAGGGCTGCTGGCTGAAGTCAGGCAGGAAAAAAAGATCAAAACACCCTGCCCTATTTTTCAGGCTCGTTCAAGTAGAAGACAAAAACATAAATACAGGAGAAAGGAAGAAAACCACATCTTTTTCCTCTTGTCTCCCCAGAACTGAACAGTGTCTCTGATAAGCCCAGGCCCTTCTATCGTAGACACTGACACTATGCACAGAAAATGACTCAAAAACGCTTCTAATGGGGGTGAATCTGATGCTTCAGTTTATTTAAGATGTACCAGAGGCCATCTAAGGAGATCCATAGCTTGCTAACTGAAGCTTATTGCTTTCTCTTCTTAGTTCCCATGCCAGGCTCTATGCCATTCCTTGCTTGTCATGTGAGATCACTGATTTCCTTTGGTTAGGTAGGATATGATTTCCTTACAGAGATCTGTCCTGACACCAAACAGCTATGATGAAATTCCTTGGTTATTTTCCCTTTTTGTGTACCTTATCATTACCGGAATGCTAAAGCTGTAGGAATAAAGTTTCCCTGGCTTCCCAAGAAATACAGTGTGACAGAAAAAGTATAGCCTAGGGACTTACTAGTTATGTGAACTTTGGTTCATTCCATCCTTACCTCATCTGTAAAAGGGAGATCATGATAGTATCTACTGCAAAGGGTTTTGTGTGATGATTCTCTCTCTTTCTCTCTCTCTCATACACACACACGCACACATTTATATAATGCTTAGAAAATGAACTCATAATAAGCAATTGACAAACATTAGCTATTATTATGTAGGCAAGTCAGATTTTAGAGTTTGTGAGCCTTAGACACATTTACAGAGAAGAAAGAGCAGCCCTCCTAACTTTCTGGTCCAGCGCCATATCCTCCACTTCCTCCCCATCCCCACATCCCTTGCCATTTATCAACCCCCTCTCTCCTCTAAATCTAAATACAGGCCCCCGTTTGATCCATATTGTCTAGGCCCTTCCTCTCCTCTCCACATGGCCCTTCCTTCAGCTCTGAGGGAAGCTGCAGAAGCCAGCCATGGTGCTGTCTACAAAGAAGGGGACACACGCCTCTTCCACCCGCTCATGCTGTTACTGCATCTGATCATCTCCGTGCCGTGTCCTTGTTCACTTAGCCTGTGTTGAGTGTTTGTCTCCATTTCCAAATGCAATAAAACATCTGGGAAAGACTAAGGTAGGTGTGGGCAGGAAGAAGGGAGGAAGTTAGACCCAGTGGCTTGAGTGCCCTCTGATGCCTCCTTATCCTCGGCTCCACACAAGCCCTCGCCAGTGTGAGCTCCACAGCCATCCACCTGGAGGAGGAGTACTCAAAACCAGGGTCAAATGCCTTGTACTCGGGGGTCTACCAGTAAGCCTGTGGCC